>NT_167249.2:300000-600000 GCF_000001405.40 Homo sapiens
GTTGTTTGTTTTTCCTCATCGTTCCCTAATGGTTTGGTATTAAGGTTATACAGGCCTCATAAAATGAGTTTAACATTGGGATTATTTTCCCTTGCATGTTTAGTAGAATTAACTGGTGAAAACATCTGACCCTTGAGTTTTATTTCTGGGAATATATATTATAGGTTCTATTTAAATAATTGGTATCAGACTATTCAGATCTTATATTTTTTTCCTGTACTAGTTTTAGAAACAAGAGTCTTCCTAAGGAAATATACCAGATGAACCTGGAAAATCTTTTCACCAGAAAGCAAGGAGGCTACTGAAGACTACTTTAGTCATGTTAAACAAAAAAGGCTTGTGCTGACACCTATGAAGTAGTCTTACCCAAATCAAATCTAAATATAGAATTTGATAAAGCCCTTAGATCTAACTATTAATTTTTAGGACATGCAGGGGCAGAGGAATGTGTTAAATACTACCAAAGGTGTGCAATAATTAAAATCCAAACTGTGAAACTCTGCAGCACCAGCAACCTAGTTAATCATTAAATAAATTTCAAGAAAAAAGAGATATAGGGAGAACTTATATATTAAAATACTTAAGATACATACCAACTAATCACAATGTATTGACCTTATTTGAATACTTTTTTTTTTTTTTTCTGAGACAGTGTCTCACTCTGTCACCCAGGCTGGAGTGTGGTGGCACAATCACGGCTCACTGCAGCTTTGACCTCCCAAGCTCGTCTCCCGAGTAGCTGGGACCACAGTCATGCACCACCATGCCTGGCTAATTTTTGAATTTTTTGTAGAGACAGGGTCTTGCTATGTTGCCCAGGCTGGTCTTGAACTCCTGAGCCCAAGTGATCTTCTTGCCTTGGCCTCCCAAAGTACTGGGATTACAGGTGTGAGCCATGGTGCCTGGCTTGGTTTTTTTTAATGTTAAGAAAAAATGGCATTAGAGAAAAATTTGAACAGCGAATGAATCTTTGATGATGTTGCCAAATAGATAATTTTGTTTAGGTGTGATAACTGTACTAGTGTTAGTTTACTTATATTTTTGGTTTGTTTTTTAGAGATGGGGTCTTGCAATATTGCCCAAGCTAACCTCAAACTTTAGGGCTCAAGGAGTCCTCCCACTTCAGCCTCTTAAGTAGCTGGGACTACAGCATAGGCCGTCGTGCCCCTGGCTCTATTATTAGTTTGTTAGTTAGTTAGTTAGTTTGTTTATTTATTTATTTATTTATTTTGAGACTGAGTCTTGCTCTGTCGCCCAGGCTGGAGTGCAGTGGCGCGATCTCGGCTCACTGCAACCTCTACCTCCCGGGTTCAAGCAATTCTCCTGCCTCAGCCTCCCGAGTAGCTGGGATTACAGGCGCCTGCCACCACGCCTGGCTAATTTTTGTATTTTTAGTACAGGCGGGGTTTCACCATGTTGGCCAGGCTGGTCTTGAACTCCTGACCTCAGGCAATCCATCCACCTCAGCCTCCCAAAAGTGCTGGAATTACAGGTGTGAGCCACCGTGCCCGGCCCATATTGTTAGTTTTTTTAAACAGTCATTATCTCCTATAGACAATTAAATACTTATGGATGAAACACAATTTCTGTCATTTGCTTGAAAATAATCTTAAGCAGAGGGAATGGGTGGGGATACAGATGAAACAAGATTAACCCTGACGTAATAATTGTTGAAGCTGAATGATGTGTACATGGAGTTCATTTTTCTATTGCCTTAACTCTTGCATGGGTTTGAAATGTTCTATAATAAACTTTATTTTTTATTTATTTATTTTTTTGAGATGGAGTTTCGCTCTTATTGCCCAGGCTGGAGTGCAATGGCACAATCTCGGCTCACCACAACCTCTGCCTCCCGGGTTCAAGCGATTCTCCTGCCTCAGACTCTGAGTAGCTGGGATTACGGGCAAGCGCCACCATGCCTGGCTAATTTTTGCATTTTTAGTAGAGACAGGGTTTCTCCATATTGGTCAGGCTGGTCTTGAACTCCTGACCTCAGATGATCTGCCCACCTCAGCCTCCCAAAGTGCTGGGATTACAGGCAGGAGCCACTGCGCCCGGCCAATACATTTTTTTTAATAGAGGAGGACTATAAAACCTATGGGAAGCTCTGATGGCACGACTATGACTTGCTGATGTTCACTACAGGTTATCTGGCTAGGCCACTTGCTGAGAAACTCCTGATGTATCTTCAAGTCTATTCTGGTTGGATTTCTCACTGAAAACTGCGTCTTTTGTCTGGGAGGTGAAAGCCAGACCCTCATCTTTCTGGGAGATAAGGAAAGTAGGCTGGAGGCGTTGACATTCAGTATGCTCCTTTTTCAAATGGAATTCCTGTCCTCCATGTGTCTAGCCCACATATCCTTTGTTTAACCTTCTTCAGAAAATAAACCTCCAGTCTTCTTTGGGCTTGAGGACCTAGGACTCTGCTTGCTTCCTAAATAGCCTCTGACAGACTCTCCTCGTTTTAGTCTATTCATTCTCATTTCCAGGGGTACATGGTGCCACCAATTCTTGAGTCGCTTAAAGATTCTATGATGTAAAATAAATGTCTTTTTTTTTTTTTTTTTCTTTTTTAGAAGGAGTCTCACTCTGTTGCCCAGACTGGAGTGCAGTGGTGCAATCTCGGCTAACTGCCACTTCCGCCTCCCACTCCCCAGTAGCTGGGACTACAGGCACGCACCACCAAGCCCAGCCAATTTTTCTATTTTTAATAAAGAGACAGGGTTTCACCATGTTGGCCAGGCTGGTCTCAAATTGCTGATCCCAAGTGATCTGCCCATCTCGGCCACCCAAAGTGCTGGGATTACACGTGTCAACCACGGTGCCCGGTCAGATTTGTCCTTTACTTGCCCCCTTCAGGCTAAAATTTAGCTTTCTCAAATTCAATGTCATTATTACTTATCCTTTTTTCAGTTTCCAAAATTTTGTAGTTGCCTCTTCTGCCATTCTTCCTGATTATGAATGGTTTTACTGTAGCATTAGTGTAGTTCTGAGGGGGAGCAATACCAAATACACGTAGTCAAGCTACAATCCTTACCAAGAAGTATCTTATCATCTTTCTTAAACTTAAATGAAATTGGCATTCTCCATTTCTTTTGTGAAGGTAAAAATAATCTCATATCAGTGTTCTGGTAAAAATTTTGTGTTTGCACGTGGAATGTAATTCGATTTAAAAAGTGAGTTTTACCTGGTGATTTTTGTATGTAAATTATAACTTAGACTAACTCTTGTTTGGTAACTCTTCAGAATTAGAACTACAGATATCTTAGGGTTTCAAGCAACATGTTTTGTCATTCAACTATGCACCTGACCTTCGAATTCCTTCAGTATTATTCTTACCAAACTTATTACCTTATGGCAGAATCTGTTCCAGTTGAGTATCTCCTAAATGTACAGATGTCCTGTAGCTTCTACTTGTGGATTGTAATTCTATTCTGGGATAGTTGCAGAACAAGATTAACCCACTGTTCATAAAGTAGTCCTTCAGAATTTTCAAGACATATCTTTTTCACCAGGTAAAAATCTAAAATTTATTCAAATACGCTCTCAAAATATTCATTTTATGTGTTTAGGAAACATCAAAAGACTTCTGGAGGTCAGACTAGTAATTTCTTTTTTTTTTTTTTTTTTTTTTTGAGATGGAGTCTTGCTGTGTTGCCCAGGCTGGAGTGCAGTGACACGATCTTGGCTCACTGCAACCTCTGCCTCCAGGGTAGCTGGGACTACAGGCGTGCACCACCATGCCTGGCTAATTTTTGTATTTTTAGTAGAGACAGGGTTTCACCATATTGGCCATGCTGGTCTCGAACTCCTGACCTCGTGATCCTCCCTCCTCAGCCTCCCAAAGTGCTGGGATTACAGGCATGAACCCCCGTGCCTGACTCTTATCTGTGATTTCTAAACCTGTTCTCTCCCTGCCTCCCTTTTCACTTTGAATCTTAGCAATCCTGATACAATATGGAGAAGTACCATTCTAGCTTTATGTTAAAAAAAATTGCTAAAAATGATTGGTGTTTATAAATTACAAACTGTTTTCTGCTGAACTGAGGTATAACTTCATGTCGGAAAGATGTGGTGCACGCATATGGGAATTGCCTAGGAAAGCCTGAGCACAGAATTTACTAGTTACGTGATCCTGGGCAAGTTTGTTAATCTTTCTGTGCCTCAAATTCCTGATCTCATAGGGATGTTGTATGGATTTAAAAAGTTTAAATGTGTAAATCCCTTAGAACAGTGCCTAGAACACAGCAAGCACTAATAAGTGTTTATTAATATTAGGAAGTGATTGATAAACTCTTGGAAGTAAATGTGCTCACTGAAAAAATAGTGAATAAGAAGGTAAAGGACAATGTCTTTGGGGAATCTCACAATTAAGGGTCAGGAAATCAGGAATAACTAATATAAGAGACAGAAGGACCAGCCTAAGAGGTAGGAAAAACAGAAAGTAACACCAGAATCGTTATACTCAGGCACTGGTCAAAATACTGACTACTGAGGTCTGAGAAACAGTCACTGGAGAGAGGGATTTCCTACTCCCATCAAGTTCATGGGTACTCCATACTTGATGTTTTCTTTTCTTATGTCCAGTAAGATTTGAGCTCACTCTAAAAGCTTTTCCACATTCCTCACATTCATAAGGTTTCTCCCCAGTATGAACTCGCTTATGTCCAATCAGAGCTGAGCCCTGACGGAAGGACGTGCCACACTCACTGCAGGTGTATGGCTTCTCACCAGTGTGGATTCTTTTGTGCTGCCTCAGGACTGAACTATGATGGAAGGCCATTCCACATACCTCACATTTGTGAGGCTTCTCTCCAGTGTGAATTCTTCGATGATTGGTCAAGTTTGACTTCCCACTGAAAGCTTTCCCACACTCTAAACATTTGTAAGGTTTCTCTCCAGTGTGGATTCTCTGATGGATGGTAAGGCAGTGCTGATCTTGGAAGGTTTTCCCACAATCCCTGCATTGATAGGGCTTCTCCCCTGTATGCTCTCGTTCATGAGCCCTGCGCTTACAGTTATGACGAAAGGCTTTCCCACACTCCTCACACCTGTAACGTTTCTCTTCAGTGTGGATCCTTCTGTGTTTGGTGAGTTCTGCCTTGATGCTGAAGTCTTTTCCACACTGGGGACACCCATAGTGTTTCTCCCGAGTATGGATTCGTTTGTGTTTGCTTAGGTCTGAGCTCCGACTGAAGGCCCTTCCACACTTGCTGCACTCATAAGGTCGTTCCCCAGTGTGGATTCTTATGTGTTTGGTGAGGTCTGAACTCCCACTGAAGGCCTTCCCGCACTCCTCACATTCATATGGCTTCTCCCCAGTGTGGATTCTGCCATGGATGGTAAGGGAATGCTTAAACTGGAAGGCCTTCCCACAGCAGTTACATTTGTAAGGCTTCTCCCCGGTGTGGATAAGCTGATGCATACAGAGACGGTTCCTGGTCTTGAAGGCCTTCCCACAGTCCCTGCACTCGTGAGGCTTCTCCCCACTGTGGGTTTTTTTATGTCGGCAAAGAGCTGATCTACTGTTGAAAGCCTTCCCACACTGGGTGCAATTAAAAGGTTTCTCCCCTGTGTGGATTATCCGGTGCATAGAAAGCTGATTTCTGGTCTTGAATGCTTTCCCACACTCATTACACACATGGGGTTTCTCACCAGAATGAATTTGCTCATGGAGAATTAGATCTGAGTGCCAACTGAAGTTTTTGCCACACCTGGCACATTCATGGAGTTTCTGTGCTATAAGAACTTTATTACATTGACTATGTTTTGAGTTTGGATTCAAGTTTTTACTAAGCACTTTCTGGTTCTTTCCTTTTTTGCAGGTCACTTCCTCAGAGCCTTCTTTCTCTTCTCTCAGTTTCTCCCTTATAGATGTTTCCCATTGATTCTCTAATTTGACATCCTGAACACAAACTTCTCTAACCTTAGGATCCCGGGAATCAACTTTTAGGAGACTGTTAAATTTCATCCAGTAGGCTTCTCCATTTTCAAAAATCTCTTGTTGTGAACTTGCCTTTTCATTCTCAGGCCACATCTTGTCAGCTGACACTTAAACAAGAAAATACAAATGTCAGAGGGAAGGAAATAAGTGAGATGGGAGGCGTGAAGCAATGTTAAGCTGTTTGAAGAGTAAATAACTTTTCCATGCTGGAAAAATTACTAACGTTGTGGCCAAAAGTCAGAACAGGCTGAAATAATGAAAAGTATTGAGATATTTTACACTCAGCACACTTTATAAAAAATCCTTAAAAACCTATTCCTCCTCTATAGTCTCCTAGTTTAGTGAGTGTAAACTCTATACACCTAGTCATCTAAGCCACAAAACAAAATAATCTTCAACTCTGTCTCCCTTGTATTTACCCAGCTAACATTTTACAAATTCTACCTGTGAAGAGAGTTACAGAGGAGGTGCTGAAATGCTGATGCAGTCCCTTTTCAAGGAACTGTCTGCTTTGCTCCCAAGGGTGGGCCCTGGAGAGCCATATTTCTGTTATGTGACTCAGCCCATCTGGTTGGGGCAGATTAGATCTGCGCAATACCTGACCCAAACCAGGTCAGATTCTCTAATCCTGGACTTTAGAATTGTGATCTGACGGCAGGTAAGGCCAGCTCTAAGAGTAGCTCAGTCTTTAGCACTTAAATTTGAGAACTAGTGGTGGTGGGATGGTATTTGGTACAGAGGAGGGAATGTTCTGCCATCTGGTCCGAGAAGAAGAGAAGGTCAATTTGCCTAGAAAGAAGAATGAAGCTGACTCACAAAGAAGCAGGGAATACAGTTGGAAACCTGATGGTTTTGAGTCTCTTCTAGGGCCTGACACATAGCTGCCCTTAGGTCCCATGACACATCCTGAATAATAAATAAATTCATGTTTTTCTGCTTAAGCTAGCTTGGGTTAATTTCTATTGCTGTCAACCAAAGACTCCAAATACATCTTATTAATATTATCTCTGAACTCTATCTCTTCCTCTTTATTTCCACTGCCAGTGCATTCTCACTAATTGCTATATCCCTCAAACATCCTTTACCCTGAATCCCTTCTAATCCATCCTCTGCACTGCTTCCAGATTATTCTCTCTGAAAATCAAGTCTAATCATGTCACTTTTTAGCTTAAAATACTTCAATGGCACTCCATAGTTAACCAGACAGGAAGAAAGTAAAGCATACGGTCAAGAGTCCTGGCTCTAGAGTGAGACTGCCTGGGTTCAAATCCTAGTATGACAGTTAATAAATCTTAATACCTGTGTGAACTTGGGAGGATGACTTCACTTCTCCTTTGCCTCAGTTGCTTTATCTAAATGAGTTAATGTATGTAAAGCACATGCCACACTGAAGTACTTTAATCAATATTAGCTGTTATTGTAAGTTCAAGTTTTGTAGTTTAAATTCCTTAAGAAAACTCCCAAAAAACAGACGTCATATCATGATCTTGCCCCTTTCTACTACTTATGAACCTCCCCAAAGCTATTCTAAGTCCCCTGCTCTACTCACACTGAACAATTCATAGTTCATATTATTTTATTCCTCAATGCTTTCTCACATGTTATTCCTTCTGCCTAGAATGACTCTCACCTGTCTCAATTTATGAGCACTGCAGTAACTGACACACAGAAGGGTAATAAATATTCTGAGATTTTTTTTTTTTTTTTGAGGTGGAGTCTCACTGTGTCCCCCGGGTTGGAGTGCAGTGGTGTGATCTCAGCTCACTGCAACCTCTGTCTCCTGGGTTCAAATGATTCTCCGGCCTCAGACCTCCCAAGCAGCTGGGATTACACCCAGCATGCACCACCACACCCAGCATGCACCACCACACCCAGCTAATTTTTGTATTTTTAGTAGAGATGGGGTTTCACCATACTGGCCAGGCTGGTCTCAAACTCCCGACCTCAGGTGATCTGCCCATCTTGGCCTCCCAAATTGCTGGGATTACAGGCATGAGCTACTGTGCCCAGCCTCTGAGCCTTTTTTGAGGGCCAAATTGCAAAAATCTATTAGATAGGTTGCAAAGAACCAATTAGATAATAACAGAATAATTGCCCAAATAGTTTGTCACTGTTTCAATTTTCTTTTCCTTAAGTTTCCTAAATGGGTTTCCTTTCTGGGCCCTTCGACTGGATGATCCACCACTGAGAATGTTCCATAACCATTATGCCACATGGAAGATCAGAGGGAACTGAAAGTTTCTCTATTACTCACCTGGGTAGGAGCAGCTTAGGGACTCCCTGTCCTGTGGATCCTGCACACAGGGGTCTACTTCTCGCTCCAGATGAGAGATTAAAGGAGGTTTAGGAAATGGAAATCCTGGTTGCAGAGAAGAAATAAGTGTGTAGAGTAACTTATAACTTAATAACTTATAACTTAGCTAAGCAGCCCTGATCCTTCTGTTTGTATATGAAAACAGGAAAGAAATGTTAATTTAGATAGAGAAAAGGGTTTTTCAGGGGTCTAGTAACATGTAAAAGAACATGTTTGGGGACTTTCTCAGAAAAGTCACACTCAGAAGGAAAGAGAAGTTCTGGGAAACAGTCATTTGGGTGTGCTCTCCTGTTTTTTTTTTTTTTAATTTTATTTTGTTTTACTTTAGGAGAATGGGAGTCTGGTATAGGAAGACTATCAGTTTCAGGCACATAGAAGGCAGTTCTTGACTAGGAGCGGAATATAGAACACCCCATAAAAAAATGAGAGGCTTGAGGAAGCAAGAACCCAGGGAAAACAGAAGGTAAGTGTCTCCTTTTAACTCATTCCAAATCAGAAAACAGCAACTAGGTTAGCCAAAAAATTATCTTGCTATGTAATAGAGGCAACTCAAAACTCTTAATTTTTGGGCAAGATCCTGATGATAAAGAATAAGGACTCTTTCAATATGAGACCTTATATACATCAATAAATAAATCAATTAAATAATAAAAAAAGAAGGTAGAAAGCATTAAGTGTAGGGAAGGTCCTTACCAAGTGATACCATGTTCCCATAATTTTCCAACATCACATCCTTATAGAGATGCCTTTGAGCGTAGGTCAGACACTGCCACTCCCTGTTAGTGAAGTTCACAGCTACATCCTCAAATGTCACTGACTCCTGAAATAATATGCTCCTGCTATCCTGGAGAAAACGCCATAGTTTCCTCAGGAAACAGAGGCAGAAGAAAGGAATTTGCAAGGAGGAGGTTTATAGAAGTGAAAGGCTCTTCCCTTTTGGTGGGTATGTACAAATGAGATGAAAGGGAGCATGGGGTTTTGATAGCAAAAAATAATGAAAGAGAAAACAACCCACAAGTGGTTTATCATGCAACAAAATGTTCCTTATGAGAGGGAGAACATTGATTTAGGAGTTGCACAGCCAGAGAACGCAGTGAAAACAAGGCCATATTTTGGAGGTAGTGATGTATTTTCAAGGAGGAGGAAAGGGGCCTCAGCTCACTTGGGCCTGGCTCATTAGTGTGATATCTGCTTGCGGCAGGTTTCCTTGGCTTCCATCTTTAGTGAAGGCAGGATATGGAGCAGGTAATAGAGCTGAGGGAAGATAAGTAAGCCAAGAGTCAATATAGCACAGTATTAATGAAATCTCCTGCATTCGTCTTCTCTTCCTCAAATGTAGAAGCTTCTGCAGCTCTAACCTAGGGCTTTAGGCTACTGCCTTACAGTATCCTTCCTCTTCATTATTTTTCTAGTCTCAACTTCCAGTGTTGGGCATCAGGCCCTGGCACAGCAGCCAAGGCAGCTCTTGGAAATGCACTCTTTTCCTGTCTCACCTACTGTTTTCCTGTGGTCTTTGTCCTGGAATAAACTTTCCCCCTCCCCAAACAGATCTGGTAAAAAGACCCAAATCACTTACTCCCTGGTTTTGAATAGACCTTCTTCCTGTATTTGAATACTGAAGTCATTTCTTCCAAAATACTTGGGGTAGAAGGAGGGTGAAAAAGAGTGTGTGCATGCACGCGTATGTGTGTGTGTGCATATGTGTTGAACAGAAGCATCCAGGGATAGGACCAAAGCTTATTTTTTCAGGTAACTTAATGGCTGGTCTACCTCCAGTTAGTTACAAATTTTTTTCCTTATTCCTCTTAGAGAAGAATCATTCTTCCCGATTTTGCACATTTTTCCTACTAATTCCCTAGTACTGAGTTATCCTCCCTATGTCAATATAGTATAGCACACAGAGCATTTTAAAATGCAAAAGAAACTTTATAAAGAGTGTCCAAGTGTTCAGGTATAATCCATATGATTGGGTGAGAAGTAGTTTCTTTTTTTTTTTTTGAGACTTAAGAGTCTCGCTCTGTCTCCCAGGCTGGAGTGCAGTGGCGTGATCTTGCCTCACTGCAAGCTCTACCTCCTGGGTTCACACCATTCTCCTGCCTCAGCCTCCCAAGTAGCTGGGACTACAGGTGCCCACCACCATGCCTGGCTAATTTTTTGTATTTTTAGTAGAGATGGGGTTTCACCATGTTAGCCAGGATGGTCTCCATCTCCTGACATCATGATCCACCCGCCTCGGCCTCCCAAAGTGCTGGGATTACAGGCATGAGCCACCACGCCCAGCTGAGAAGTAGTTCATATTACTAATTAATAGGGCCTGACTTTATTCCTTGCAGGCCAGCTCAATCTTTCTGTAGCTTCAGTGTTTAAGGTGCCTTATTTTTCTTGATAGTTTATCAACACATCGCCAAGTCCAAATCTGAATAATTGCTGTCTGCTTTTAAGACACCAGCAGGGTCAAAGTAATCTATTGGTAAGATTTTATAATCACCCTTTGGATTTAGACCTCCAAGACTATCATTCCATTTTTACGAAAAACCGATTTAGAACCAAGCTGATTTCTTTTCACTGAAATTGCCCAAGAAGACTCTTCTTTAGTTTCAGCTACTTATAGCTTTTGACCAAGACCAAGGCTGCATCTCAGTCATGGTGGTTCCATACAGTTTTTCCACTGTCTCACTCTAAAAGCTCCGAGCTCCTTTATAACTGTCTCAAAAAGTCTAAACTCATCTGGATGGCACACAACTCACAGCAGACACATGTTTGTGCCTTGTTAATGTTACATAACAGTTCTTTTCCTTATAACATTAACACACTTAAAGCTCTCAATTGGATGTTTTCAACCATTATTTTATTATGAATATTTTCAAGTGTATAGAAAAGTTGAAAAAATTATATAGTAAATATCCATATACCAATCACTTACATTCCACAATTTACGTTCTGCAATATTTACTTTATCACATACTTATCCATTTATCTATTCCTCTCTCTGTTCATTAATGTATTTTATTTTTTGAATCATTTCAAAGTAAGTTGAAAGCATCAGTACACCTCACCCCTAAACAGTTTAACATGTATATCATTAACTGGAAGTTCAACATTTGTTTACCTTCTTTTTCGAGGTAAAATTTACATATAATGAAATGCACATGTCTTAAATGTACCCTTAGAGAAACTTTGACAAAAGCATACCCCTATGTAACTCATTCCCTACTGGTTTTTACCATATCTTCTTCACAACTGGGAAAGTCTGTCACTCATAGTGATTCATAAGCTTTATTTTTTAGCTTTAGCTTTAGAAATTGAAAGGTTATTCCTCTTAAGTTAAAAATGAATTTAGGAAACAGGCTACATGAAAAAACAACATAAAACTTTTTGTTAAAGCAGTATACAGATATCTTGTGGGATAAGATTAATACATTTGTATTGTATTATATGATAGGTGGCTACAGAATTTCTGACCCTGAAAATCCACCACAGCAGATTTCACGACCATTTGAGAAAAAGAAGACTGGGAGACTCGTGCATCCGAGTTTAGCAATAGCTATTATTTTTTATTTCTAAATCTATAAAAAATTTATGTTCTATATTATTAATTCTCATTTATGATCCCTTGTACAGCAGATATCTCAGGATTCCTCCTCTAGATGTTTCAACACTATATCTAGAAACACATTTTATTTTTATTTTTTGCAGGTAGCATATACTAAAAAGCTTACTTTTGAATGTGCCTACTCCTCTGTCCAAAAGTCTATGCCTTTCTGGGTTTGATTTTATGACTCCTGAATTGCTATATACCATCTCCTAGGTTGCACCTCCAACAGCAATTTTTTTTTTTTTTTTTTTAGACAGAGTCTCACTCTGTTGCCCAGGCTGGAGTGCAGTGGCATGATCTCAGCTCACTGCAACCTCCACCTCCTGGGTTCAAGCAATTCTTCTGCCTCAGCCTCCTGAGTAACTGGGGTTACAGGTGCATTACACCACACCTGGCTAATTTTTGTATTTTTAGTAGAGATGGGGTTTCACCATATTGGCCAGGCTGGTCATGAACTCCTGACCTCTAGTGATCCACCCACTTAGGCCTCCCAAAGTGCTAGGATTACAGGCATAAGTCACCGCACCCGGCCTACCATCAGCTTTTATACAAATCTTAACCACTTTTCCTCCTCACATATGCCACCAAAGAGCACAAGGCTTCAATGGGAAAACTTTTGCTTCTTCTTTTGTCACTGCTTTATTTTATATTTTGGAGATATCTATACATCATTTAAAAGTATCAGGGCTCCAGAAAGGTCTGCAGAAGTAAAATTGTATATATTCAAATTTTACATGTTGGCAAAATTATGTTTGGGTAGGAATTACTGAATTATACCACAAGTTTTATAAGTGTAAAATATGTGCAAATATGTACGCTATTTACCATATATCTCAGGTTATACAAACAGTAAATGCCTGACTGCATTGATTCTTTCTGATAAATTGCTTTGTAGAATCTTTTACACACTGATTTTTTTCAAAATTTAAGATACTGACAGAAACTGAATATTTAGTTCCTCTAGATATTGATCCAAGCCTCGTATAGAAACAAAATAAGACTTTCTATAAATGCTCATTAATGAACAGATTTTTGGGCCCCAGTGTGGCATTTTCCACCCACTCTGTGTCCTTACTACATTCTCAGCTGCCGTGACTCCTGCCACAATCTCCTGTGTATCTCACCGCTTTCCTGAGGGAGCTGGGTATCCTGGCGGGTCCAAAGCAGCTGGCTTGGTGGTCCTGAACTCTCATCCAACAGCACAACCTATTGCAAGACACAGAATGAATTCAGGAAAGTTATGAAGGTGAGAAAAATACATAGGAAGATGCAAGCAACCATACAGGTCTATCCACAGAAACTGTCTCCCAGAAATACCAAAAGAAGGGAGAAAATAATGGACTCAGTTCCTAATACCTTATGAAAACTAGAAATGGCATCTACAACTACAAAGCTTTAATGATCACCAGGTCAAGCAGCAAAAACAGTATCTAGGAGGAGACACCTCCAACAGTATCTAGAGTCAGACACACCTCCACTCACACTGCTTTCCTTCTTTCTTGGACTCACTTCTCCTTCTTCCTCCTTGTGATGTATCACAGACCCTCCTCTTCTTACCTCCTGCATCTTTTTACTCAGGTTTCTTTAACAGTCTTCCACTGCTGTCCTGGTTTCTTCCTACTGGTCAGATCCAGTTCTCAAACAAGCTGTGAAGTGGCTCCAGTTGATGCCAGCCTCCTTTGGAGAACACATGTTTTGGTGGTGCCAGCCAAAGGGCCCTTCTTGACCCACAGTGCCGCTACTGTTTGGCTTAATGTGTCAAACACTGCCCTGGATTTGGGGTTCATTAGCAACACTAAACCGCTGTGATCTCACATCTTGTTTCCCTGCATATTTGGTGAAGGGAAAAGAGGAATGTGACCACAGGAAAAAATAGGGAGTCACTGAGAACCTGAGGCACGAAGTCAAACTGAAAATGTGAACGTATCCAGAATACAATCTCAACGGCTACCACCCTTGTCTGAGCCACCATCACCTGCTATCTCCCCTCCTTTCCATTACTGCGGTAGTCTTCTAACTGGTCTCCTTTCTTCAATCCTTGCCTTCCTCCTTTCTTAATAGGGCAGTCTGAGTAGTCCGTTTACAACTTGAGTTGGATCATTTCATCGCTCTGCTGAAAACTCTCCAGTGGTTCATACTTAAAATAAAACCTGAAGTCCTTACCGAGGTATACAAGGCCCTACTGAATGTGCCCGTGACTTCTAACTTCCTCTCCTGCTCACCCAAAATAAGAGCTGAAGTCTTAAGAGTGGCATACAAGTCTACAGGATGTGTCATTCTCAACACCTTCTACTCTTCTCCCACTCCCTCAATCTTCAGCCATACCGACCTTCCTTCTCTTTCATCTTAGGGCCTTTCCATTGGCTGCTCCCTTCACCTTAAGCGATCTCCATGGCTAATAATCTTGCCTCCTTCAAGTGTTTTCTTATAGGTCATCTTCCCAAGGAGGTCTACTCTGAGTGCCTTATTTAAAATTGCAGCCTATCCCCTCCTTCCAATCCTGATGGGCCTTACCTTGCTTTACATGAATTCTTCTTTTCCTCTATAGCACTTTATAATTTTCCAGTATGGTGCATAAGTTACTTATTAATATATACATTGTTTACGGTGGTTCTACCTTCGCTAAAATCTAGGCTCTTAGGCTCCATGAGGGCAGGAATTTTTGTCGTCTTGTTCACAGTTGTATTCTCAACGCCTAAAACAGCGCTTGCAATAGTATGTGCTGGATTAAAAATTAGCTGACTGAATGAATATATGAATGGATGCTGTAGAGAAGAATAAAAAGAATGGGTCAGGAGGCGACAAGAGCAAGACTCCGGTCCCAAAAAAAAAAAAAAAAAAATGGGTCACGAGCCCCTGGGAGGAGGTAGGGCAAATGGGCGGGAAATGCTCATTTTGGGGAATGGCTTCGAGGGAGGAAACCGCAGCCGACTCCCTCCTCAAATATGGCCCCAAAGACCCGCCCCTGCCTGCAACCCCAGGGGCCCGGGTATTTAGGTGAGGGGGGCGACGGCGGCACCGGACTCCTCTCCTCTCAGCTGCAAATTCCGACCCACGACGGCCCAAGGCACAGACCTTCCCGCCGGTACTCTCCCCAAGAAATGAGAAACAGAAATATACAGAAGCTCCACTTCCTAGTCCGCCAATTATCATTTCCGGTGATTTTCTAGGAAAGGCGTCAACTCTCTGGTCTAGGCGTTCCCTTAAACTCTCCGCCCTCCTCCTCGCGGCTCAGCCTTCTAGGAGTTTGCGTGCGTTTATGGCCTGTGCAAAGGGGTTGCAGAAATATTACCCTTTTGCTCCTTTTTTCCCATGTAGAGGAACCTCTAGATAGGAATGGACAGAAGTTTTGTGACAAATATATGAAAAAGTTACTTTTAAATATTAACTAAGAACACAAATAATTGAATGTCTTTTTCAAAAGTAAAGACTATTTTAAGCCCATGCAGAAGTCGAAAGAAGAGTATAATTAACCCATATATACCCATCATTTACATTTAAAAATACATAAAATTCTGCCACACTTGTTTCATCCATCTCCATTTTTTCTTGCTGAAACGTTTTAAAGCAAACCCCAAATATCTTACTTTCAACTTCATTATGCATTTATTTTAAAAAGGATATTTTCCTACAGAATCACAATACCATTATCCCATTTAACAAAATAATTCCTGGTTATCATCTAATACCAAGTCCATATTATATTTCCCTAAATATATACATATGCTTCTTACATTTGTTTTCTATTTCATTCAAGATCTAAAGTTCCAGTATTTAATTTGGGCATGTGTCTTAATTCTTTTAAAATTCACATCTGAACTAGTTCCTCCTTCCATCCTCCTCTTCGTCTTCCCCTCATATAGTCAACTAATTGAACAAATTGGGACATTTGTCCTGAATGTTCTACATGCTGGCTTTGTCTATTTGTGTCCCCATTTTATTAGTTTCTCTAGCCTCATATTTCCTGTAAAACTTGATGTTACCTCTAAAGGTTTGATTAGAGTTAGGTTTAACTTTGTTAGTAAGAATCCTTAGGTGGTGCTATGTACTTTTTGCCACACATCAGGAAGCATATAATGTTTTTGATGCTAAGATTGACCAGTGGGTTTAATACTTGATAGCTGAATCCTTCCATGTAAACTTTCCCACTGGCTTTTAATCTGATAGATTCAGCCACCCCATTTCATTAGAGTTTGTAAAATTGTAATTTTTCTAATTCAATAATTTTTTCACATTTATTAGTTAGAACTCCTCTATAAAGAAAAACTTTCCTTCATCAATTTAGCAATTTAGGGCTATTTGGTTATCCTGAAATGTAGTTTGTACAGGAAAGAAAGACTGTTTAATTTTCAACATAATTGCCAATTTTCAGAAAAAGCAGTTGTGCCTTAGGTGCCATCAATGGTAACCACCTTACAAAATGTGATAGCCATCCTATAAAATGGCTAGCTGGGCCCTACTGTCCAGCATTCACATCCTTGTGTAGCCCCCTTCCACATTGTACCAGGGTTGGTTTGTGTAACTGAATGATCTGGTAAAAGTGATGCTATGTTTTTTTTGTTTGTTTGTTTGTTTGTTTTGTTTTTTGAGACAGAGTCTTGCTCTGTTGCCCAGGCTGGAGTGCAGTGGCGCGATCTTGGCTCACTGAAATCGCCACCTCCCGGGTTCAAGTGAGTCTCCTGCCTCGGTTTCCCAAGTAGCTGGGACTATAGGCATGCATCAGCATGCCCAGCTAATTTTTATATTTTAGTAGAGATAGAGTTTCGCCATGTTGGCTGACTGGTCTTAAACTCCTGGCCTCAAGTGATCTGCCCACCTTGGCCTCCCAAAGTGCTGGGATTACAGCCATGAGCCACCGCACCTGGCCGATGCTACATTATCTCTAATATTAGGTTATAAAATAATCTACGGCTTCTGTTTTGGTCTGTTTTTCTTTCGTAGATCACACACCCTTGGGAAAGCCAAATGCCATGTTGTAAGGAGAGGCCCAGGTGGTGAGGAACTGAAGCCTCCTGCCAGCAGACACATGAGTGAGTTTGGAAGTGGATCTTTCTACCTTAGTCAAGCTTTCAGATGACTGCAGCCCTGGTTGATGTCTTGGGTGCAACCTTATGACATACGCAGGACCACCAGCCAAGCTGCTCCCAGATTTCTGGTCTTCAGAAGCTGGGGAATGGCTTTGAGGGAGGAAACTGCAACAGATGTTTGGTTCTAAGTTTTATAACTAATGCAAAATTTTGTTTTCTCTTTTTGTGCATCTAATGTGCACTAATGTAAAATCTTTTTGTGCAACTAATGCAAAATTTTGTTTTCTCTTTTTGTGCACAACATCAAGTGTTCTGCATCAGTTGATAACTAATGCAAAATTTTGTTTTCTCTTTTTGCATATCAATATGAACACATGGATTTAAAAAAATACATTCAATGAGTCTCAATCAATTGCAGTAGTTATTCTTTTTAATGTTCAAATTATTTCATCTTTGGTCAGTGGGAGTCCCTTTATTTTATCTCCTGTGTTCTTTTCATCCAACTCTAAGCGTCTTTGCTTTTTTCCTTTATGGCAAGATAAATGTTTCAGACACATGTCATACATTTCCTGCCTCAGACCTGGAATCAGCCATTTTTCCAAGGTGTTCTGGTGCTTTCAGTGGGGGCAAGGATTGCATACCTTTGTGAATAGTCATGGTTAGCTGTTTTAAAAATGTATCAAAATGAAATAAAATTTGCTTAATTATGAGATTAAATCCTGGCTACCCCACTCACAATGTGTGTGTATCATACCTTAGACCCACCCTAGTTTGCCTATCTGCAAAATGGGTCCAGTGTAAATACCTAAATTTCAGAGCCGTTATAAGGATAAATTAGTTAATACGTGGAAATCACTTAACACATTGCCTGGCATCAAATTTCATGATGAGAATAACTGCAAACCTGGAAGATACTATAATGGTAATGAGGTATACTTTCTTCATTTTATACTTGAGAAAATTGAGGCCCAAGAGATTAAAAACTTGTTTGTACAAAAGAGGATAAAATTAGAAGAGAATCTAATGATTTCAGACTCTTGGATCTCATACCTAGACTACTTTGGATATAAATGCAGCCTTTCCAGCCCAGTCGGGTCTTCTATTTATTCAAAGACAAAGGAGGTAAGAAAATACTTGGCACAGTAGCAATAAAGTGGTATTATGGGAAGTGCAGAAACTTTATATTGAGAAGATCTTGTTCCTGATTCTGCAACTTGTTAGCTATGATACTGTGAGCAAGTTACTTAATTTCTCTGTGTCTTAATTGCTGCATCTGTAAAATAGTGAAAACAAATCCCTTATGCACAAATTCATTGTGAGAGGGTTAATATACATATATTGTATATGAAAATGCCTGGCCATATTGCTTGCTGAATAAAAATCATTATACAAAAATAATTTCTTCAATCCCCCAATTTTATAAAATTTTATTCTCATCTAATGGAAATTGGCATTTTAAGTAGAATGATCCCTAAGGATACTAAGTCTATAATTTTGTAAAGGACTTTAGTGAATACTGTGCAAAGGCACTGTGCAAGGAGCTACAGGAGAGATGCTATGCGTGGTCATCTACCTTCCAGGCTGACTGGGTACAGTCTTTCTTCCCAATATTAATCTACTTAATAGTAATAATGTCCAGTTCACATATTTTTGTGCAATACATTCATGAAAGACTGCTATACCCTTTGCTGTTATAAAGATACTTCCACAGTAGACTGTTAGCATATACTTTAATAATCTAGTTGGATTAAGAGACATTTATTTACATTATTTCCTCTAGGCTAACCACAATCGCTCATAAAACATCTCCTAAAATAATTAATACTGGAATTTTACCAGGGATCCATGTCAAATTTTTCACCCTGTTAATTCCACAGTTCACCTTCTTACTTTTTGAAAATTTGGATATTTGTCAGACTTGGGCATTTGTTGCACTACTCAAAAATGGGCTTCAGGGGTCCTGTGGCCAATCCTCCTGAACTTTAGTATGCTTTAAGCTGGGCATGAAAACTTGTAGTTACTGTTTAACTACCTTCCTTATGTAAATGTTTGTCCTATCATTCTCAACTTGAAGGTCACGACACTTGATGGAGATATGAAAGCCTGATAATGTTAAGTAATTTTATGGCCCTTCTGCCATCTGTCAAAATTACAAAATTCATTTCCTGGGGCTTTTGAAAAAAATAGCAAATATTTCAGGCATACTAAAGAGTAATATAAAGAACACTCAACATCTAGCTTAAGACATAAAAGATTATATACACAATTAAATCACCATGTCTACTCCTCACCAATTCCTTCCCCCTTCCTTCCCAGGTTAACTACTATCTTGATTTTGATGTTATTATTCCCATGCATGTTCACATATTTTTAGTACATACGTGGGTAGCCACAAATATTATATAGTATAATTTACATGTTTTACAAATTTTATACAAATAGTTTCAGTTTGTACATATCCTTTGAGCTCTAAATACTTGATTTCATTTTGGTTCAATATTTTTGGCAAGAATACATTATAGGGGTTACTATGTAATTTGTACTCAACTTTACATGTAGTTTTGAGATTTATCCTTCATGAAAAATGTGGCTCTAGCTCATCCATTTTAACTGCCATAGACAGGTCTTTCCATTTTCCTTCCAATAATCTTTTTAATTAACCTGATTGTTTTTCAGTTCAACTCAGAACTTGCTAGCAAGTATTTTTTTTGTCTTTGATATTTCATTTAAAAAATATTGGCAATCTTTTTGAAATAATTGTTTTCTTGGAATTTTCCCTTCTAAAAGGGTAATTTCCCATAATTTTTGGTAGAAAGTTTATATTCTAATATGGGAAAGAACAATCTAAAAAGTATTTACTATGGTACATAGAGGAAACTTAAATGCATATTATTAAGTGAAAGAAGCCAATTTGAAAAGGTTACATTCTGTATGATTTCAACTATATGACATTCTGGAAAAGGCAAAACTATGGAGACAGTAAAAAGATCATATATGTAGCATCTTAACCAAAGAAAAAAAAGTTCAGTGGTTGTCAGGGGTTGGAAGTGGAGAAGGATGACCAGGCCGAGCACAAAGGGTATTTTTAGGGCAGTGAAAATACTACGTATGATTATGTAATGGTGGATACATGCCACTATACATTTGTCCGGACTCCAGGTGATTGTCAATGTAGGTTCACCCCACCGGTTGGGGATGCTGAGAGTGAGAGAGCTACACATGTGTGGAGCAAGGAGTATGGGACATCTCTGTACTTTCAGCTCAATTTTGCTGTGAACCTAAAACTGCTCTAAAAGATAAAATCTAGTAAAAAAAGTATTTATTACTTCCCCAAACTTTTAAATATATCTTTTGTGTTTAACCTTATTACTTACATAGATGGAACAATTTTCTGTTCAAGGTTCTGCTCATAATCATTATATTGAAACATAACATGATAAAAATATATTATAGAAAAATACCATATATTGGAAATATATTCTTGAAAATACAGAATACATTACTTATAACGTATGCTTGTTGGCCCTCATGATCCTAAAAGTTATAGCACATTTAAATGTATGTGACTTATGGTTCTTTTTAAAATAAAGCTACTGAGAACAGTCAAATGGTGATAGATCAGTCAAAGCTGCTTTGCGTCCATTTTGTTCAGACTCATTTCAATTCATTCTTCAACAAATATTTCTAAAAGCAACTGTACTAAGAGCTTGGAATAACATGAATGTACAAAACGGTTAAAGATCTCTGCCCCGTGGAGCTTATATTCAAGTAATTCTAATTGACTCGTGCTTTCATTTTCTTTGTTTTTCTCTTTGTATACTGAAGAGGATAAATTTCATATTCAAGCTAATCTGTTCCTCCCAAATGGTAACAGTGCAACACTGGCCAAGCTGATTCAGACAGCACAGCTTCCCGGTGTCTGCAGGGCTGGACCAAAGAGAAGAGTCTTCCGCGGGTGCTAGAAAAGCGAAGCACGCGTTACCATGGAGACTGCGGAATGGAAAAGCGTTCGGTTTCTTGTTTCCTAGCCGCGAATGGGGTCGTGGTTCCTTCGACCTCGCCTGGGGAGAAAGGGGACGGAGGGCTTCGGGCTATACTTGGGCCACACAGCCGGGAAGCTGAGGCCGCGGGGCAGGTCTGCGTGGCGGCGTCGAGTCCGAGCGGGGAAGCCCCTTTGCGGGAACTCTGGGGCGGGGCGGGGCGGGGAGGTGGGTAGGGAGGGTCCCGCCAGCAGAGGCATCTTATTTTTAACCTCTTCTCGGCTGTTTTTCTCTCGTCCATTTGCTCTCCTCCTTTAAGCCATCCTTTAATATTAAACATTAAAAAATATATTTGGCAAACATTTGAATAGAGCGCGCTTATTCTGGGTCAGGTGTCGTTTTAAATGCTTTATGTGTGCTAACTCATTTAATTCTCAAACAATCCAATGGGGTAAGTATTATCATTATCCCAATTTTTAGATAGGCCTGGAGAAGATAATAAACTTACCAACAGTGTCACAGCTGGTAAGTTGAGGGTGGGAAACCCCGGCCTAACACATATATTTTCTTTTTATGTTCTGTAAGGATTGGGATCCTTTTCATTTTATTAGACAGAAAAGGACAGTTAGCACTGTCATTGAACCCTCAACATGGTATGATCTCTTGAGAAGATTAAGCAGCCATTTGGTGGCAGATTGATCACTTTGAACCCTTTCTATTAATACCTTGCAGTGGGCAGAGACTCATCCTTATAGGGATTTGTATGTATTCCAGGTATAATTTTGCTTCCCTGTCTCCAATGCCCCTGCTAATACTACCCAAGGACTCACAATGTCTGATGTACTGACATGGAACCTTGCCTTACATCTCAGACCAAGGGACTCACTTTACTGTGAAGGATGTGTTACAAAGGGCACATGATCATGGGATCTACTGGTCCTACCTTATTCTATATTACACAGAAATGGCAGCCTGTTTTTCCCCAGCTTTGCCAACATAATAATTAGCAAAACTTTTTAATTATATGATAATATATTTCAGGAAGAAAACACTGACAACCGTGAAATTCAAACTAGATAGTAGAGAAACTGGAATTGGGGAGACCAGTTAGAAAGCGGTTTGGAAACAAAGATACACATGAGTTTTAAAGCTGTGGGCTAATGTAGATGTTGATGTGATTATAAGTCTCTGTTAAAAGAGTTAGGGTGAGGTTTGAGGTGGTTTTAGATTATTATTTTTGCTAAAGAACCCAGAAATGACTAAGTTTATCCCTGTCAATCACTTCTGACACTCTACTCATATCATGTTCCTAAGGAAGTTGAACAAAAGGAGCGATAGCCAAATGGGACTAACTATAATAGCTAATATTTATTGAGTACTTAATACTGTACTAAAGATATTGTGTGCTACATTTTACTTAATATTCTATGGGGCAATAAGCAGAACTATTCAGAAATGATCCTGGGATCTCACTCTAGATTGCCCAGGAAATGTGCTAGCTACAACTGGAGTTTCCCGTTCCTCTTGGAAAGAGGGGCTGCACCTACGTATAGCTTTGCATGAGACCAGCTGCTTACACTTTCTAACACGAAGGGGCTGCAACTGTCCATAGGATGCATGGTCTCCAGGTGTTGGGCATCTGGTCCTCAGATGCTTCCTCAGCTCTGCTAGCATCTAAACCCAGACTGCCCGGCAATCAAGTAGTCTGCTTGTTGTCTTACTGAAAAGTGGTGTTCAAGTTTATCCTTGACAAGATAGAATAATTGGGTCAGGACCAGAGCCCCAACCTATTGCATGTGAAATGGCTTGTTCTTGCCCCTGGTTCACCTCTCCATGGGATTATGAGAGGATTGAGAACTCTATGCCTCTTGTGCCTGACTCTTGCTTTCTAAGTTTCCCCAGTAAATCTTATTCCCATTCCTTCGTTCATACTATGTGATGTTGTAGAATTTATTGCAAGGCCCGTTGTACCACATCCTTGCAGCAAATTTATGACTCAGAAATTACTATTTCTATCTTAGAGATGAGGAATATGAGACAGAAAAAGTCACATAGCAGGTAGGTGGTAGGATTTGAAACCAAGTCATCTAGTTCCTGAGCCCATGATCTCAAAAACTTTGTTAAACTAAATGGAACTACTAATTTATAAAGAGCTAAGTGAGTGCTCAGATAATCAAATAATCACCCATGGAGAAGTTCAAATCTCTTGCAGAAGTTCAGATCTCTGTTGGAGCATGTAGCCTAGATTTAACCTCCAGTGGTGCCTTTAACTTTGTCCTAAGTCTTAGGCTTGTGTCAACTGCTGGCCAGCTACATGGAGGAAATAAGTTGAGAAAAAGCAGGAAGCAACATGGCTGGGTCTACAGAGAAGATCCAAGTTTAGCTGTCTCATGCTCTTTGGGCCCAGAGGAGAGGAAAAGCAAGACAAAGTCTTAAACTTTCCACCAGATATCAAGACCTTGTTGATGTCCTAGAACATGACCAATCAGATTAATGATGGCTCTACCTGGGAAGAGTAGCTGAGAAAGGATTAAGTTGAGGCAGGCCTGGTGTGGGCAGATGTTGTTGAATGTTTCCCACTACCCCTTCCAGCCCACTGGAAGAATGGGTTTTTTAAAAAAACATACACTCAAGATGAGCTCTATTAGTCATTTCCTCATCTCACTTATTATTCCAGTTAAACCAAGGCTGAAGGACAGAAAGATCACAAACTTATTAATCTCTGGACAAACCTAGCTCAGGGCCAGAATCAGGAGGGTGAATCTCAGGAGGCTGTAACCCAACTGATTGCAAATAGGATTTTGGAATAACAGTTTCTGAGGTGTCACAAAGAACTGTCAGCCCTTGTGTCTGTTCTCTAATAGAATTTTTACTTTCTTCTATGATCCCAAATTTCATAAACTCATACTATAACTAGGAAGTAGGCAGAAATGTCCTTTTGATGAACCAAATAATCAGAAACTTTTCTAATAATCCTCTTTGTGTATTTTTCCAGCCACAGAACTGAGTCATTCATTACCCAAAGCTAAACCCTGCCTACATGGTAACGCTTTTGTAAATGGGATTCTTTCTCTCTGACATCCCTTTTTCCTGCAGTCCCTTATACCCTCTCAATACCAGTGTGGCTCAAGGGGCCTTCAGTTCTGTCCTAATTCAGTCTCACATTCAAGCTGCACCTCCTTAGGCACCAGAATGCGAGAGAAGGTTGTTCCTTCAGGGAATATTTTCTTTTGGCAGGGCCATGTCACTGAGTCAGGCTTACTAATTATGTCCCAAGGTGGGCTCAGCCTCTGGCCCTTCAAGGAGCTTAGAGAGCTCTGGAGAGCTAAAGGACGCAATTCCACTCAGTTCCCCTAGGGACTTGTTTTGTTACGACCCTGTAGCGGTTGCCGCCAGCCTCCCGTCCCCGGACAGCGCGCCTCTTTCCTCCGCGCGGAATCTCGCCTTGCCGAGAGGTGACAGCGTGGTGCCAGGCCTCGCTCGCTCTCCGCGCCTCCTCGGCCTCGGCGCCCACTCTGGCCGCGCTCGAGGAGCCCTTCAGCTCGCCGCTGCACTGTGGGAACCCCTCTCTGGGCTGGCGAGGCCGGCTCCCTGTTTGCGGGGAGGTGTGGAGGAAGAGGCGGGAACTCTCTTGCGGGCCAGTGCGAGTTCCGGGTGGGCGCGGGTTCCGGGGGCCCCACACTCGGAGCGGCCGGCCGGCGCCACCGCTCCGGGCAGTGAGGGGTTTAGCACCCGGGCCAGCAGCTACGGAGGGGGCGCTGGGTCCCCCACCGCTGCCGGCCCACCCGCGCCGCGCTCGCGTGCTTCAGCCGCCTCCTCGCGGGG
This sequence comes from Homo sapiens, assembly GCF_000001405.40. Lineage (NCBI taxonomy): Eukaryota > Metazoa > Chordata > Mammalia > Primates > Hominidae > Homo > Homo sapiens. The sequence continues at coordinate 324,686 of NT_167249.2, forward strand.
CAGGGCTTGGGACCTGCAACCTGCCATGCCCGAGAATTCGCGGTGGGCTCCTGCGCCGCCGGAGCCTCCCCGACGATTGCCGCCCCCTGCTTCACGGCTTCCCGTCCCATCCACCGCCCAAGGGCTGAGAAGTGCGGGCGCACGGCGCGCGGGACTGGCGGGCAGCTCCGCCTGCGGCCCGGGTGCAGGATCCACCAGGTGAAGCCAGCTGGACTCCTGAGTCTAGTGGCGACTTGGAGAACCTTTATGTCTAGCTAAGGGATTGTAAATATACCAATTAGCACTCTGTATCTAGCTAAACTGGTGGGGACTTGGAGAACCTTTATGTCTAGCTAAGGGATTGTAAATACAGCAATCAGCACTCTGTGTCTAGCTCAAGGTTTGTAAACAAACCAATCAGCACTCTGTGTCTAGCTAATCTGGTGGGGACTTGGAGAACCTTTATGTCTATCTAAGGGATTGTAAATACACCAGTCAGCACTCTGTGTCTAGCTCAAGGTTTGTAAATACACCAATCAGCACTCTGTGCCTAGCTCAAGGTTTGTAAATGCACCAATCAGTGCTCTGTGTCTAGCTAATCTAGTGGGGACTTCGAGAACTTTTGTGTCTAGCTCAGGGATTGTAAACACACCAATCAGCACCCTGTCAAAACGGACCAATCGGCTCTCTGTAAAATGGACCAATCAGCAGGATGTGGGTGGGGCCAGATAAGGGAATAAAAGCAGGTTACCGGAGTTGGCCGTTGTAATTTGTTTTGTCCTGTTTCACATTGTGGTGGTTTTATTTTTTACTATTAGCTGCTTGGATCTGCATTTTGTTTTGTGAGGTGTAACACTGTGAGGGCCTGTAGTTTCACTCTTGAGGTCAGCGAGGCCACGAACCCACCTGGAAAAACAAACAGTTCCAGATATGCCGCCTTAAGAGCTGTAACACTCATTGTAGAGGTCTGCGGTTTCACTTCTGAAGCTAGCTAGTCGACGAACCCACCAAAAGGAATAAACTCCAAACACGTCTGACTATCAGAAGGAACAAACTCCAGACACATTTTTTAGAACTAATACCCTGAGGGTCTGCAGCTTCATTCTAGAATCATGCCAAGAACTCACAAATTTCTGACACATTGCTTTTCCGCAGGAGGTTGCGGGAAGACGTACAAGGAAGGGTCGGGATGGTGCTTGAGGTGGTCAGAGCCACACCCAGGGCTGCATTCTCATCAGAGACACCTCTAAGTTACTGCGAAGTCGGAGACACCAGAAAGGAAGACTCCAACGTATTCCGAGAGGAGTGGAGGCAAATGGGATAGACTAGCCCTCCCGCCCGGGATCCCGCGTCTCGGGGAACGGAGACCCGGGCACACGCCACTTGCTTGCTGGGAGGTTCCTTACAAGTTACATAGAGGGGGAGCTTTTCCTGGCCAAACGTGGGTTATTCTCGTTCTCCCTTCCCCACACTGTCGCAGAGGAGGAAGACGTCTTGGTCGCCGTTAAGAGCTAAAACGAACGCCAAGGCTCTAAGTGGCCCTGGGGTCCAGCGCTCGCCGGAGGCACCAGCGTGTGCAGGCCCGGAGCGCCGTCTTCTGGGCGAGGAGTGTCATTAGTAACACTTTATGTTGCGGATAGGTGAAAGAAAAACTGACGCTTCGGAGATGGGGGTGCCCAAAGAGGAAGAGAGAACAGCGATTAGGGCCTTAAACCTCACACCCGAACAAATTCGGCCGGAGTTACTGAGCGGCAGGCTCTCTGATGGAGATGGGTGCTTTCAGACTTAAGACGTGAAAACAAAGATCAGCCACTCATGAACGAACTCAAGGCTCACTGAGATGCAACTGCCATGAAGAAGTGGGTGCAGGGTGAGAGGTCTGTCTACCTCCTTAGAAGGACCACTGTGGCTTGTGCAGAGATCCGAAGTTTGTTCTCATTACAATGGGGACGGTGAGTGCTAGTAATGTGGACCATTTTTCAATAGCGCCACCTTGTGGCAGTGACAAAATGGCCGTAGTGGACTTGGGCTCAGGTGCTTTCTTGAGTGTGCAAACTGGTAAGAACTAATTTTTTGAATCAGATTTGGGGATTATTCAGGCAGAAGGGGATCCCTAAATGGAAACACTGACATTTTAATACTGCAAGTGGGGGATGATGAACAGACAAATAACAAGCAATGGGGGGCCACATTTGTGTTCAGAATTCATGGAACTTTTTTTTTTGATTTTTCTATTTCTCATTTTTTTAATGTATGTATTTTGAGGGTACATGTAATATTTTGATACATAACGTATAAAGGTCAAAGATAAGGATAATTTGTGTGTGTGTGTATATATATGTATAAACTTAAATGTCCTTTTTGCTTGGAACGTTCAAATTTTTTTCTAGTTATATCTAAATATATATCAAGCAATCTTTTAGATATTTTGAAATGTCTAACATTATTTTGAGACAGAGTCTAGCACTGTCACCCAGGCTGGAGTGCAATGGCGTGATCTCGACTCACTGCAACCGCTGCCTCCTGGGTTCAAGCGATTCTCCTGCCTCAGCCTCCCAAGTAGCTGGGATTACAGGCATACGCCATCACACCGGGCCAATTTTTATATTTTTAGTAGAGGCGGGGTTTCACCATGTTGGTCAGGCTGGTCTTGAACTCCTGACCTCGTGATCGGCCACCTCTGCCTCCCAAAGTGCTGGGATTACAGGCGTGAGCCACCGCGCCCAGCCAGAAGTGTCTAATAGATTATAGTCACCCTACTGATCTATTGAACTCTGGTTGTCTTTCTTCTACCTAATTGTATACTTATACCGTTTAACCAACCTCTCTTTATCCCACGTCTTCCCTCCTCTTTCCAGGCCCTGATAACCACCATTGTACTCCCTAGCTTCATGAGATCTTCTGTTTTAGCTCCCACATAGGAGTGAGAACATGCAGTATTCATGAATCACACTCATCATGAGCGATCTTCTTGGTTGTTGAATTGGGGTTGCTAGTTATTTTGAGAATTTTTGTATCTATGTTCATCAGGGATTTTGGCCTGTAGTTTTGTTTTTGATTTGATTTCTGACACAGATTTTGCTGTATCCTTGTCTGGTTTTCACATCAGGGCAATGCTGGCCTTGTAGAATGAGTTTAGAGGAATACCCTCCTCTTCAATTTTTTTTAAAAGAGTTTGAGTAGAATTGGTATCAGTTCTCTAAATATTTGCTAGAATTCAGCAGTGAGGCCATAATGTCCTGGGCTTTTCTTTGATGAGAGACTTTATTAAGGCTTCAATTTCATTACTCATTATTGGTTTGTTAGGGTTTCTATTCATGGTTCAATCTTAGTACGTTGTATATGTTTAATAATTTATCCATTTTTTCTATGTTTTCCAATTTGTTGGTGTATAGTTGTTCATATTCTCTGATTCTTTGTATTTTTGTGGTCTGTTATATCTCTTTTTTTTTCTTTCTGATTGATTTATTTGGGTTTCTCTTTTTTAGTCTAGGGAAAGGTTTGTTAATTTTGTCTATCTTCAAAAAATCAACTTTTCATTTCATTGATCAAATGTATTTATGTTTTAGTTTCAATTTCATTTATGTCTGTTCTGATATTTATTTCTTTCTACTAATTTTGGATTTGGTTCATCCTTGCTTTTTTGAGTTCCTTGAGATCCATTTTTAGGTTGATTATTTGAAGTCTTTTCCCTTTTTTGATGTAGGTGTTTATTGCTATAAAGTTATTGTTATGCTGTATTCTGTAGGCTTCGGTATGTTGTATATCTATTTTCACTAGTTTCATGAAATTTTTAAAATTTTCTTAGCTTATTCATTGACCCATTGGTTGTAGGAGCATGTTGATTTCCATGTGTTTGTATAGTTTCCAAGGTTCCTCTTGTTGATTTCTGGTTTTATTCCATTGTGATCAGAAAAGATACTTGATATAATTTTTACTTTTTTGAATTTGCTGAGACTTCTTTTGTGACTTAAGATATGGTCTGTTCTGGAGAATGTGCCATGTGCAAGTGAAAAGAATGTGTACTCTGTAGCAGCTGGGTGAAATGTTCTATAAATGTCAGGCCTACTTGGTCTAGTGTGTAGCTTAATTCCAATGTTTCTTTATTGATTTTCTCCCTGGATAATCTGTTACTGAAAGTGAGGTGTTGAAGTCCCTACTATTATTATATTGGAGCCTATCTCTCCCTTGAGATTTATTAATGTTTGTTTTACATATTTGGATGCTCTGGTGTTGGGTGCACAGATATTTATAATTTTTAATATCCTCTTGATGAATTGACCCCTTCATCATTATATAGTGACCTTTTGTCACTTTTTACATTCCTTGACTTGTAGTCTGTTTTATCTGATATAAGTATACCTAATCCTGTTCTCTTTGATTTCCACTTGCATGGAATATCTTTTTCCATAAATTCACTTTCAACTTATGTATGTCCCTATAGGCAAGGTGGGTTCTTGTAGCACCACATAGTTGGGTCTCGTCTCTTTACCCATTTAACTTCTATACATCTTTTAATTGGAGAATTTGGTCCATTTATATTCAGTGTTATTATTGATAAGTAAGGACTTATGACTGCCATTTTGTTGCTTGTTTTCTGGTTGTTTTGTAACGTCTTTCTTCCTTTATTCTTTTGCTACTGTATTTCTTTGTGGTTAAGTTATTTTCTCTGGTAGAATGCTTTAATTCACTGCCTTCTATTTTTAGTGTATTAATTACAGATTTTTGCATTGGGGTTACCATGAGGCTTACAAAACATATCTTATAGCTACTTTGTTTTATTATTACTTATTATTCTGATACAGGGTCTCTGTCACCCAGGCTGGAGTGCAGTGGTGAGATCTTGGCTTACTGCAGCCTCTACCTTATTGAACTCAGGCAATCCTCCTACCTCAGTCTCCTGAGTAGCTGATACCATAGACACATGCCACCATAGCCAGCTAAGTTTTGTATTTTTTGTAGAGATGAGGTTTTGCCATGTTGCCCAGAGTGGTTTTGAACTCCTGAGCTCAAGTGATTAGCTAGCCTTGGCCTCCCAAAGTGCTGGGATTACAGGCATGAGCCATGGCGCGCAGCTGATATTTTACAAAGATGACAACTTAACTTTGATCACAAAGAAAAGACTAGAAACAAACAAAAAAACTTAAATAACCCCCACAAATCCCTGCCCTTTAACTCTATACCCCTACATCTTGACTTTTTGTTGTCTCGGTTTACATATTTTTATATTGTCTATCTCTTAGCAGGTCACTGTAGCAATTATTGTTTTTGATAGGTTTGTCTTTTAGATTTCATACTACAGTTATAAATGGATTGCACACCACAATTAGAGTATTAGAGTATCCTGGGTATGTCTTGTACTTAATGTTACCAGTGGTTTTTTTCCTCAAATATTTTCTTTATGCATGTTAGCATCTTTTTCTCTTAGATTGAAGGACTTCATTTGCCATTTATTTTAAGATAGGCCTGGTGGTAGTGAATTCTCAGCTTTTGTTTGTCAAGGAAAGATTTTATGTCTTCTTCATGTTTGAAGAATAGCTTTTCTGGTACATTAATCTTGGATGGCGGTTTTATTTCTTTTAGCACTTTGAAAATGCCATCCCACATCTACCTGGCCTGTATAGTTTCCATTGAGGAGTCTGTTGCCAGAATAATTGGAGCTCTTTGTATGTTATTTACTTCTTTTCTCTTGCTGCTTTTATTTTTTATTTTATTTTATTTTTTTTGAGACTGAGTTTTACTCTTGTCACCCAGGCTGGAGTGCAATGGTGCTATCTCGGCTCACTGCAACCTCTGCCTCCCGGGTTCAAGCGATTCTCCTGCCTCAGCCTCCTGAGTAGCTAGGATTACAGGCACCCACTACCATGCCCCACTAATTACTGTATTTTTAGTGGAGACAGGGTTTCACCATGTTGGCCAGGCTGATCTCGAACTCCTGACCTCAGGTGATCCACCTGCCTTGGCCTCCCAAAGTGCTGGGATTATAGGCATGAGCCATGGTGCCCAGCCAACTTTTGTAATCCTCTTTGTCCTTGACCTTTGAGAATTTGATTATTGTATGTCTTGGGGTGGTCTTATTTGGGTTGAATCTGTTTCATGTTCTCTAATCTTGTACCTAGATACTTATATATTTCTTAAGTTTGGAAAGTTTTGAGTTATTTCTTTGGATAAGCTTTCTAATTTTTGCTCTTTCTGAATTCCCTCTTGAGCACCAATCATTCTTAGATTTGTCCTTTTGAGGTACTTTTCTATATTATTTAGGTGATCTTCATTCCTTTGTATTCGTTTCCCTTTTTTCTCCTCTAACTGTATTTTCAAATAGCCTGTCTGAGTTTACTAATTCCTTCCACTGTCTGATCCATTCTGCTGTCGAGAGTCTCTAATAAATTTTTCAGTTTGACAAGTATATTTCTCAGTTCCAAGATTTTTGTTTGATTTTAAAAAATTATTTTAATCTCTTTGTTAAATTTCTCTGATAAATTTTTGAATTGCTTTTGTGTGTTATCCTTGAGTTCACTGAGTTTCTTTAAAACTGCTATTTTGAATTCTTGGTGAGAGAGCTCACATACCACTGTCTTGCCTAGGGTAAGTCATTGGTTCCTTGCTTTGTCTGTTTGGGGAAGTCATGTATATTAGTCTGTTCTCACACTGCTATACAGAAACACATGAGACTGAGTAATTTATAAAGAAAAGAGGTTTACTTAGCTCATGGTTCTGCAGGCTGTACAGAAAGCATGACAGCATCTACTTTTTTTTCGCCCTCTTGGTCTTGCCTTCTTTCTGACATCACATGGAGTCTGCAGTCCAGGTTTTCCTTGGCCCTAGTAAATGACTGGAGCACTGCCGGACCCAAATGTAGAAGGTCTTACGGGGGATATCCCAATAGGGTGGGAAGTCTGGCTAGAATTTCGTGCTCAGGGAACCTGTGGAACATACCTCCTATGGTGTGTCGCTGCTGACCAGCTTCGCTGATTTGGCGTCTCCTTTGGCTGAGTTAAAGAAGAGTGTTTCTAGGGTTGGGGAAGGAAGTCCCACCTCCCCACTTTTTCTCTGGTTGTCTTTGGGAATATTTCTCCCTTTAAGTACTTAGGGACAGATCTCTTGCCAGGGAATCCAAGATGGTGGGGAAACTGGTTATCCACTTCAATCTCACTTTTTCCAGTGTAGAAACTGGCGGTGAGGTGGGGGAAGTTTTCCACATGCTTGGTGCTAGGCAGATTTGGGAGAGGGATGTCACGGATTTGGAAGTCTGATTCTTACAGCGTCTGCTTGAAGTTTTTTACTTCTTTGTTGCCACGGGCACTGTTCCATCTTCATATTTGAGTTCTGGGATATTGCTGGTGATAATCTCAGCACCGTGTATTTGTTGTAGGTTTTCTGTGGAGGAAAAATAAAGCCAGCTTCCTTATATGCAGCCATTTTGGAACCAAACTCTCACACATTCCATGGAACATTTCTAGCCAGCAAGGTACAATGACTAGCAAGGAAACAAACTTTTTTTTTCCTTCAGTATTTCAGTTGACTCACAAGAACATGAAATGTGACCTATCTTTTCATGTGGCCAACTTTAAATGTTAACTTAATATCTTAGATAAAAATAGTTTAAAATACACATCCATTTAAGTTAAAAAGAATAATTTAAAGTTTTATTATTCTTTGATAGTTTTTCTTTTGATGCTACACCTAGTGACTACCATATTTTAAAACAGACATGTTCTAATTGCTCTTGAATCTTCAACTCGAAAGAAACTATGGTTTTATAAATTAGTGATAACAGTGAGTGTCCTCTTTAAAAAATATCTGCCATTTCTGACAAATGACAAATAGCTGATATTATTTTTTCTTAAAAGGAACTCTATTCTTTTAACATACAGTCTCTCTTGTTTAATAAAACTGAAAGTAAAGAATAGATAGAAATAGTCCTACCTCAGTTCAGGTCAGGTTTTGTTGCCAACAGAGTTATGAAAACTTTTAGTTTTCTACCTGGGTGTGGTAGCTCTCACCAGTAATACCAGCTACTTGAGAGAACTGCTTGAGGCCAGGAGTTTGAGACCAGCTTGGGTAACATAGTGAGACCCTGTCTCAAAGAAAAAAAGGAAAGCTTTTAGTTTTCTGACCATTTTATTTTTGTTTATTTTAATTTTTTTATTTCAATAGGGTTTTGGAGGGACAGGTGGTGTTTCCTTACATGAATAAGTTCTTTAGTGGCGATTTCTGAGATTTTGGTGCACCCATCATTTGAGCAGTGTACACTGTACACAGTGTGTAGTGTTTTATCCCTCACCAGCCCCCACCCTTTTCCCCGAGTCCCCAAAGTCCAATGTATCGTTCTTATGCCTTTGCATTTCTGACCATTTTAGATTCAGAATTATGGATAAGGGATTTTCAGCCTATACTGATCATGTCTAGAAGTTCTGTTTGTTTCTTTAAAAAAAAGTTCATGTAGCAGCAGATAACTAATACAACCAGAAATAAATGAGATATTGTTTCCTCAAATTCTTTTTTTTTTTTTTTGAGATGGAGTCTTGCTCTGTTGCCCAGGCTGGAGTGTAGTGGTGCAATCTCGGCTCACTGCAACCTCTACCTCCTGGGTTCAAGCCATTCTCCTGCCTCAGCCTCCGGAGTAGCTGGGACTACAGGTGCCCACCACCACGCCCAGCTTACTTTTTCTATTTTTAGTAGAGATGGGGTTTCACCATATTGGCCAGGCTGGTCTTGAACTCCTGACCTTGTGATCTGCCCACCTCAGGCTCCCAAAGTGTTGGGATTACAGGCGTGAGCCACCATGCCCAGTCACAAATTCTTGATACTATATTATGTTATTGTTACCAGGCAAAAGGGGCTCACTGCTGGATGTGCTAGAAGCTAATACTATGACACTGGATTTCTAAGAAAAGAAAAGCTCTTTATTATAGGTTGACCAATAAGGAGACAGGAATCTAGCTCAACTGTATCTCCCTGTGCTGGCTTTAAGATAGTAATTTTATTAGAAAAGGTTTGCGGGTGGATTCTGGGATTAGCAGGTGGTTGGTGGAAGGAAAAGGGAGGTCTAGAAAGTCCTCAAATGCACAGTTATCTCCATTCCTCTTCATGGGTCCCACATGCAAATTCAAAGGGAGTTAGTATGAAACATGCAGTGGAAATCGGGCTGTGACATTAACAAGCTTGTTCTGTGCAAACTCCATTTGGTCATGTTGGTTCCAACTAATTTTGGACACTCTTGTTATCTCACAAATGGAGGGAATTTCAGCGTTTCAGCAAGTTATTTATTTTCTTATCTGCTATCTGGCAAACTCAAGATTTCTGTTAGTTATTGGTTTCCTATTCTTTGGGGCACAATTTCAGTTTCAACTTTTCAGCAAGTTGTTTCTTTTTTTATATACTATCCTATAAACTCAAGAATTTTATCATTAAAAAAACTCTTTGGGGCATGATTTTTTCATCAAACTTAAAAAAAAAATCCCCAATATAACAGAGAATTTCCAGCATTTTAACCTGAAACTGAAGACCATTACTGAATGCAGTTTTCAATTGCCAATCTAGAAGTTTACTAATTCTGTGTATTGGATGTGCATATCCTTGTCAATCATTTTGGCCTAAGGGAGTCTTTCTTTTAATCATCTTTTCAAATAGGAAAAAGCACCAAATTAAGTGTTTTCTCAAACTTTTTCATTATAGTTATTTCATTTCTAACAAAATTTTAGTGCCACAGTTATATTGTGTAACTGCTTATGTACAGAGGCTCTTTGGAGGACCACCAACCATTGTAATACCAAAGATTTTTGCTACCTCCCCTTGAATCAATTTTGCCCCTGTGGGGATGATATCATCCCTGATATGAAGGCATATATTGAGAGAAATAAGACAAACTATTAAACCAAATTTTAATAGATGACAGTACTTTAAAAGAAAATTAATTTAAAAATTTAGTCATTTCTGGGATAAGATAATGAGCAATTTCTTTTATTTCTCTTATTTTCTAGTTTCCATTATGTACTTATATATACCTCTAGGGGATGTTGTAAAGATTCTATAATATTATGTATGTATTCTATAATATGTATGTGAAAGAAAAACTGTATCTTTTCCTTTGCTAACTCATAGATGTTTAAATATATTACATTTTAGGTGTTAGATGATTTATATATCTTCAGTGTTAACACAAACTGAAGATATTGCTCTAATATTCATCACCCAATGAGAATTTGTGATATTCTGCAGATTTGGTAACATTTTCATGGAGATTTAATAAAAAACATTGACATATTCATTCTACAGACATTTATTGGCTATGTAATTCATGTCAGAAACTGATTCGACACAGCAAAATCACGTGAATAAGAAGGTCTATATTGTTGAAAAGCTTACCAATGCATCTTCTTCAAACACACATACAAACAACTAAATAAAAATGGGATAATGCCCTATACTTATATGGTCAGGGTTTTCAAGGACTATAGACCATAGACTGATGAGATTCATAAATACTTTTCAGTTGAGACAAGATTTCAGCAGGGTATGAAGGTTGAATAGAAGGTTTTTAAGTGATAAATGCCTAGCAAGATTTAGGATCACTCATTTTTAACAAAGGAAAATTGATACTCTTTTTTAGTGGCCACAATTTTATCATTCTATACTTTTGTCTTTCTTCCATAGTCCTTATGACACCATGAAGTTTACAGTGTCTTCATGCTTTCCTTATCCTGATTTCACTGTCCTCTCTCATATTTTTTTATGTTTACCAAGGTATGTACAACTGACAATTTTAGAGTCATCTGCAAAGAAAAGATAACTATTAGGTACTGGGCTTAACACCTGGGTGATGCAATAAGATGTATAATAACCCCCCATGACACGTGTTTATGTAACCTTCACATGTACCCCCAAACCTAAAATAAAAGTAAAAGAGGAATCAAAACCTTGAAATAAAGGTATGATGTTCTTGCTGTGGAAATTTAGAAGCCACAGGGTTTAAGGATTGTAGAGACATCATAAGCCCTATTACTCCCATCTTCCTACTCAATTACTTCATGTAAGCTGTGGCTTACTCTGTCTTTGAAATGACATAGCAAGGGCACTATAGATATGGGGAATCTTTCACTTGCAGAGAGGATTTTCAATCTCTGAAATGGCTGATTTGCAGAGAAGTGGAGTCGTTTATTCTCTAGCACAGGGATTTCCAGATTTTGAATGTATTTACCAGTAAAACAAAGTAAAGCAAAGTAAAAACATAAGCTTGCTAAATTTTCTTTTGTCATTTAAGAGCACCAAGCTTTGAGCGTGAATGTGCTTTGGATAAATGAATTGATTTCACTTCTCTTGATAAATGCCAATATTTCTTTAGTGCTCTACATTCTACTTTTTTCCATCTAATTCATGATTCTGCTGAAGATTTTTTCATCCACAGTATTCTCTTCAGTGCACTCTTTACATCTTTGTTTCTTAAAGTGTAGATGGGAAGGTTAAGGCTGGGTGTGATGATTGTGTAAAAGAGTGAAGAACTTCCCTTCATCTTGGGATATGGTATTCTGTGGCTTCATGTATATATAAATGATTGTTCCATAAAACAGAATTACTACTGTGAGGTGGGAGCCACATGTATTAAGGATCTTTTGCAACCTTGTTGCTGACTTGATCCTCATTACAGCTTGAGTGATAACTCCATATGAGATAAGAATTAGTGATAGAGGTACGAAAAGAAATACCACTCCGAAAGCAAAGACAACAATCTCAATTACTTTTGAATAGACACAAGCCATCTTGATCAATGCTGGCATCTCACAGAAAAAATTATCCACTTCCCGGTGCCCACATCTTGGCAACTTCAAAGTCAAGGAGCAAACAATTAAGGCACTGGCAAGACCACTCAACCAGGCAGTGGCAAAGCTGAGGGTGCATTTTAAGGTGTAGTGAAGAGGTTGACAGACAGCAGCATAACGATCATAGGCCATCACAGCCAACAGAAGACATTCTGTGGCTCCCAAGTCAAGGACAAAAAAGAATTGGAGTACACACCCTCCATAAGTAATAGATTTTTTTGGGCCCCATTGATTTGCCAGCATCTGGGGGATAATGCTAGTTGTATAACAGAGGTCCAAGAAAGACAAATTGGATAAGAAAAAATACATGAAGGTATGGAGCTGGGTGTCTAGATAAGATACAAGAATGATGGTTGTATTTCCTACCAGAGTCACAATATAGATGATGAAGACAACCACTGAGATGATGTGCTCTAATTGGGGTCGATCAGAAAACCCCAGAAGGATGAAATCTGTTCCAGAACTTACACTGCTTGTTTCCATTGTTCCTTAAGAAAAGCTAGCAGGCAATATCATGGTAACCAAAAATAGTGTCAGGTTTAGGTAGAACTGAAAATCTCTGAAGTTTCTCAAGGGTATCCAAAACTCTCTTATTTGCATGCTCTCTCTCATTTGGAACATCTCTTTTAACATTTCCCTATGGCCCAGTGCTCACAACTTGTTCATATTTAATCCAAAATTAATAATATGCTAAATCCAATCAGGCTGAATTGTAAATCATTGAAAAAACTTAATTTGCTATGTCATTCATTGTTCTATGTATTTCAATTAAGTAATAAAATCATGAAGTCAATTATGTGATTTTAAGAGAGGCATATGTATTGAGGAGTTGTTCCTCTTTGAAGCTATGACATAAGCATCACTTGATCATGATAAATCCTTGCATTATTGAAGGAGTTAAGCTTGAGGTAAAAAGTTAAATGACATCTTTTTTTGGAATAAACTCCACCATTTGATAGCAGAATCACTTTCAATATTTACTTGCAAATATCTACATTTCAGCCATTATAATTATAATTATCCTCACCACCAACTTACTCCTCCTCCTTATATTTTTTTTACCCCTCAACATTGCAGGCACTGTTGTTATTCTATCAATTTTGGTGTTCCCTACTACACTGCCTTTTTTTGTGAGTGTGTTTTTTGTTGCCAGGAAATAATTATCTTTCTTATTAATATTTACTTACATGTATAAAGGCCTATATGTTTTTTAAACAGCTTTAATGACTAATATTACACCATCTAAACAGCCTTACTGATTTGTTGCAGTTAAATATTGAGGTAATTCCAGAACTATTTGGCCACCACGTACAACGATCTGTGTCCAATCCTACTTACCAGCCATTCAGCAGAATTAGCTGGGCGCTGGGCAGGTAATTCAAACAAAAAGCAGTTCATTAAATAGCCAGAGTTGTTTTAATCTATGGAATTTACCAATCCAACATGAGTGGATGTTCTGATTGCTTTGAAATCCTTTAGGTAAAACCATCACCCCATTGGGCTCTAAAAGAATACAGATACAGATAAAAATGTCATCAATCTCACCATTTCTGATTATTGTATCATATCACTAAGTAGACAAAATATTTAATGACTGACTGAGTTAGTTTTTTTTTGTTGTTGTTGTTTGTTTTTTTTAAAGATAGATTCTTGCTCTGTTGGCCGGATGCAGTGGCTCATGCCTGTAATCCCAGCACTATGGGAGGTTGAGGTGGGCGGATCACTTGATGTCAGGAGTCCAGACCAGCATGGCCTACGTGGGGAAAAATTTTGTATTTTCTACTAAAAATACAAAAATTAGCTGGGCGGTGTGGTGCGTGCCTGTAGTCCCAACTACTTGGGAGGCTAAGGCAGGACAATTGCTTGAACCTGGGGGCGGAGGCCACAGTGAGCCGAGATCGCACCGCTGCACTCCAGCCGGGGCGACAGAACGAGACTCTTGTCTCAAAAAAACCAAACCAAACAAAACAAAAATCTTGCTCTGTTGCCTAGGCTGGAGTGCGGTGACACAGTGACAGCTCATTGCAGCCTGGACCTCCGGTGCTCAAGTGATCCTCTCAACTGAGCCTCCTAAGTAGCTGGGACCACAGATGCATGCCACTGTGTCCAGGTAATTTTTAAATGTTTTTGTAGTGATGAGGTCTCACCATGTTGTTCAGGCTGGTTTGGAACTCCTTGGCTCAAGCAATCCTCCTGCTTCGGCCTGAGCCCTGGTGTCGAGCTAATGGCTGAATTAGTTTAAACATTTTTTCTGCTGATAATTTCTGACCACGAAATTCAGACCTACCATACTTTACATTTATAGTGTCCTTGAGGCCATGGAATAGAAACCTCATTTGTTTCTGGTATATAGTAAAACAAGGGGAAGATAGATCATTTATATATGTCATTGTTATAAGTGTTTCAGTTAGAACAGAATAATGTTATAATCATAAAGAAGGAAATGTTATCAAGTAGTATGAGATAGAGGTGTAGTTTTTCACAGCACAAAAATGGAAATCTAATTAATAAGTGTCCAGTTTTTTTATTTTTCGCAATAGGTTGTCAACTAAGGAATGATAGTGCTTCATTGCACAGATTCTGAACTCAAAGTCCCTGGCATCAAATTCCAGCTTCACCACTTGGAAGCTGTATCCTTGGGCAATTATTTAACTTGTTTGTGTAGGAGGTTCTTTATACATGAAGAAAATATAATAAAATTTCCTTCCTCAAAGGGATGTTGTGAGGGTTAATATTTATAAAAGCACTTGGAACTGAGCTTGGTTCATCTTTAATTCTAAAAATGATAACCTATATTCACCTGTCATTGTTATTCTGTCTACCCCTTAGTCCATTAATTTTTCACACTAGTGATTTTACCGCAATGACCTAGAACTAAACTGGAATGTTTTTTAAAAAATTTGTGTAACTTTAAAATTTAGAAACATTTTTATATACACAAAAATATGCAGAATCACAATATGCACATTGAACTGAAAAGCTTCAGGAGCAGGAGATGACTTGAGGTCTCCAAATGCTTTGATTAAAAAATTCACTCAAATTCTTTTGACTGCTGTTGGGTTTGTGTTGGGAATTAAAAGGTCATGAATTTCAAAGTGGAAAAAAACCTCAGAAGTCATGAATCTAGCCTTCTGCTCTGCATAGGAGATCCTTCAACAGAATCGCTACACAGCTGCTACTGGCATAACTTCAGTGACAGGGAAGTCAATTACACTTGAAGCAGCCTCTCTCCTTTAGTCAATGCTGCTTATATTGAACTCAAAGATGATTCCTTGCCCAGCCCTGGCTGATTTTCTTTATTCTGAAAATAACACAGAGTAAGTCAATTTAACATGGCCTCATAAAAACCCCAGTATTATTATATGAACAGTGCATGGATACAACAAATAAAAAGTAAAGCTTGGTGAGTTTCAGTGTATATTCTTGTAACTATCACCTAAATCAATAAATAAAACATTGATGATTACCCTAGGAGCTTTTCTTTGTGCCTTTTACCAATGATAACTCTTCCCTATCCCCTGAAGTATCCACTATGCTGCTATTTATAGTAATCCCCTCTTTGCATGTTAGTAGGTTAATTACCCAAATGTGCACCTCTAGACAATATTGTATAGTTTGGCTTACTAAAAATTTTTTATATACCTTTTAACTCTCTTTTAATATTAGAAACTGTTACCAAATATATGCTTAGATTTCTCTTCCCAGACAAAGCACATTGTTAGCTGTTCCTACCACTACATGCTCTTTTATTACCATGCTTTTTCTTGTTGCTCTCCCTGGACACACCATGATTTGTCAAGTGCTGCAAATTAGTGAGTATAAAAGTAAGCACGATACTCCACTTATGCAACACTACTGAAGAGAATAGTGAATGTCTATGATCTGCATAATTTTCTAAAATATACGTTGGTTATTTTTAGCAGGTATAAGACATTACTGGCTCTCTTTAAACTTTGGATCACGTAAAGCCCTAGGCATTCTTATTAGAAATGCTGCCAAGTCAGGCATGACAATTTATGTAGTTTAATGTTGTGAACTCAAATACAGGACTTTTCATTTAATACTTTTTAACATTTTCATATTGATTTAAGCTTTGGATCTCAAACCAGATATTTTAATTTCAATTTAAAAGTGAATGTGTTATTTGAAATGAGACTTACAACACTCCAGCTGAAGAAATAGATGGCAAAAAAGAGGCATGCTACATTTTAATCGAAACTCAGTTTTTCATTTTTCATAGTATGGACTTCAGAGCCCAATAATCGCGCATAACTTAACATTTTGCTTTCTCCAGTGAAATCTGAGACAAATGAACCAAACATATTTCAACATAATTTATGATATTGAGAGAAAATTAGAAGCACAAAATTTCAAAACTGTCTAAAATTTTATAAAAAGTAAAAATATATGGATCTTTTATTATAAAGCATGAGGTATATTGCTGTAGTCATACAAAATTCAAGATGAAAGGACGAAATAAAAATAGGTAAGACCCTAGACTGGTTCAGACCGCCTGTGATTTTTGTTACAATTGATCTCAGCCATTTCCTTACTCTGTGGACTTGAGCAGGCTAATTAACTTCTTTAGCCTCTGATTCCTCATCTGTAAAATAGCTATTCTAATAGCACCTGCTTTGTAGGATGGCTATGAGGAGGATTACATGCTATGCTAAATATTTAGCATGATGCTTGGTGCATAGAGAGCATTCAGTAACTTCAAAATCCACTAACTGCTCTTGTTGAAGTTTAATCCTCACTCCTGAGGATTAAATTTATATTTAATCCTCAAAATGTTAGTATTATTTATATCTCACATACCTTTCACATTTTTGCTTTCATGTTAGACTGAGTCTTACGCTATCTAGGATCTGTTTTCTACCTGGAGTCATCCTCTGTTAGAGATAGCAGAGAATACTTACCAGAAGCTGAAAAGATTAGAATATATTTTCATGAAGGAAGAATTCAGAGCTGTCATGTTCTCATGTAGTCCAAACATACCCATGTTCCCATTATGACGTTTCTTCATTTAATTAATAAATTAGAAAAAAATTCTTGTTGGATGAGTTACTAATGCCCTGAAGAATTGGATTAACCACTGGTCATACTGACACTACAGTGCCATTCACACTTAAATGCAACAGCTGAAATAAGATTTAATAGAAGTCTCTATTTAATGTGGATATTGGAAGTAAACTAAATGTGGGACTGGTGAAAATCCTTAATTAGGTTTGGTTAAATATATTTTCGGTTGGCTATTTGATGTCTTTTTAATGTATACTCTTGTTATTCATATTTACAGCTAGATTTTTGCCTAATTAAACAAGGAGAACACTGTGTTGGTCAATGTATATTCCAAGAATCATTAACATGTAGCAGGGAAGTATTTATTTACAGCTCTAAAGGCTACCTATGTTGATATGGTTTAGACCTTGAGGACTGATGCCCCACAGAGGTGATTAAGTAAAGCTATGACTGTGGTCAGAGGCATATCCAAATAATAATTTCATGAAAAGTTCTCTTAACACATTAGGTTTCGGCCAGGCACAGTGGTTCATGCCTGTAATCCCAGCACTTTGGGAGGCCAAAGCGGGTGGATCACCTGAGGTCAGGAGTTCAAGACCAGCCTGACCAATGTGGAGAAACCCCGTCTCTACTAAAAACAAAAAATTAGCCGGGCATGGTGGTGCATGCCTGTAATCCCAGCTACTCAGGAGGCTGAGGCAGGAGAATCACTTGAACCTGGGAGACGAAGGTTGCGGTCAGCCGAGATTGCGCCATTGCACTCCGGCCTGTGAAACGAGCGAAACTCTTGTCTCAAAAAAAAAAAAAAAAAAAAAAAAAAAGACGTTGGGTTTCATCTTTTCTTTTTCTTTTTAAGTTTTTAAATTTAAAAATTTGGAGATTAATTATATATTATATTAAATTTACATTGAAAAATGAATATATGATGTAAACTATATAAAAATGAACACATTTACTTGAAATTTGGTTTATTCAATTGGTAAGATCAAAATTGGATAAATTAAGTTATGTAGGTGTTGTGTCTATAGGACAAAATATTTAGTTTTAAAAAATTTATGGGATAATCATAATTCTAGGTTTATGAATTATTATCATCGTTCTATTTTCAGCAAATTAAAAATAGTATGAACACTCTGGAGCTTATCCCTCAATTTATGGTCTGGAAACTTACCACCATCCCCAGCTTCTGGTAATTACCATTCCACTCTCTGCTTCTATGAGTTTAAGTTTTTCAGATCCTCATTTAAATGAGATCATGTAGTATTTGCCTTTCTGTAACTGGCTCATTTAACTTAACATCATAGCTTCTAGGTTCATCCGTGTTGTTGGAAATGACAGGGTTTCCTTTTTTTGTTACGAGTGAATAGTACACCACATTTTCTTGATTTATTCATTCATTGATGAACACAAAGTTTGATTCCATATCTTTGCTATTGTGAATAATGCTGCCATAAACATGGGAGTGCAGACATCTCTTTAACATACTGATTTCAATTCCTTGGATATATACCCAGTGGTGGGATGGCTGGATCATATGGTAGTTCTATTTTTAATTTTTGGAGTAACCTCCACACTGTTTTATATAGTGGCTGTATTAATGTACATTCCCACTAACGGTGTGCAAGGGTTCCTTTTTTTCCCTACATTCTCACCAAGCTGTTATCTTTGCTTTTTATGACAATAGCCATTCTAAGAGTATGAAGTGATATCTCACTGTGCATTTAATTTACATCTCCCCATTGATTAGTGATGTTGAGCATTTTTCATATACATGTTGGCCATTTGTAGGTCTTCTTTTGAGAAATGTGTATTTGGGTCTTTTGCCCATTTTTATTTTCATTTTTAAAATTTTTAAATTATTTTATTTTATTTTTTATTTTTATTTTTGAGATGGAGTCTCTCTCTGTCTCCCAGGCTGGAGTGCAGTGACACAATCTCGGCTCACTGCAGCTTCCACCTCCCAGGTTCAAGTGATTCTTGTGCCTCAGCCTCCTGAGTAGCTGAGACTAGAGGCACGTACCACCATGCCTAGCTAATTTTTCTATTTTTAGTAGAGACGGGGTTTCACCATGTTGGCCAGGCTGGTCTCGAACTCTTGACCTCAAGTGATCCACCCATCTTGGCCTCCCAAAATTCTGAGATTAGAGATGTGAACCAACACAGCCAGCTCCATTTTAAAATAGAATTATGTTTTCTTGTTTGAGCTTCTTATATATTTTAGATATTAGCCCCTTATTAGATACATCATTTGCAAATATTTTCTCCCACTCCATAGGTTGTCTTTTCATTATTTTATTTGTTTCCCTGACTGTACAGGAGCTCTTTAATTTGATATAATCTCATTTATTTATATTTGCTTTTGTTGACTGTGCTTTTGAGGTCATATCCAAAAAATCATTGACCAGATCAATGTCATGGAGCATTTCTATGATTTCTTTTAGTAGTTTAATAGTCTTATGTTTAAGTCTTTAATGCATTTTGAGTTGATTTTTGTATATGGTTTGAGGTATGCATGTAATTTCGTTCTTCAACATGTGGATATTCAGTTTTTCAACACCGTTTATTGAAGAGACTGCCCTGTCCCCATTGTGTGTTCTTGGCACCTTTGTTGAAAATCAATTGATTGTAAATGTATGGATTGATTTTTACGCTATTTTGTTCCATTGGTTTTTGTGTCTGTTTTTATGCCAGTATCCTGTTGTTTTGATGACTATAGGTTCACAGTAGATTTTGAAGCCAGGTATTATGATGCCTCCCGTTTTTTTTTGTTTGTTTGTTTTTTGATTCAAGGTTACTTTGGCTATGGATTTTTGTGGATCCAGACAAATTTTAGAATCGTTTTTTCTATTTCTCTACAAAATGACATTGGTACTTGGATAGAGATTGCATTGAATCTTTATTTGGGGTAGTATAGGTATTTTAAAAATACTAATTTTCCCAATCCATGAACATGAGGTATTTTTCAATTTTTGTGTCTTTTGTAATTTTAAATATCAGTGTTTTATAGTTTTCAAGTGTACAAATCTTTCACCTCCTCGGTTAAATTTGCACCTAGTTATTTTAATTAATTTATTTTTTAATTATGATTGTTTACTTAATTTCTTCTCAGATGATTGTTAGTGCATAGAAACACTACTGATTTTTGTATATTGATTTTGTAACCTGTAACTTTACTGAATTTGTTTATTTGAATAGCTTTTTTTGTTGTTGGAGTTCTTAGGGTTTTCCAAATAAAGGATCATGTCATCAGAAGAGACAGTTTCACTTCTTCATTTCCAATTTGTATGCCTTTTTTTCTTTTTCTTGCCTAACTGCTCTGGCTAGGACATTCAGTACTATGTTGAACAGAAGTGGTGAGCGTGGGCATCTTTATCTTGTTCTGGATCTTAGAGGGAAAGCTTTCAACTTTTTATCATTATGATATTAGCTGTGGGCTTGTAATATATGGCTCTTATTGTGTTGGCAAAAATAGATTCTCAGAATATAATCTCCAGATTTTGTAATCCACTGATACAATTACATACTGATTACCTACTCTGTAATATGGAATTTAAAAAATTCCATGTGTGATTTTCTAACTCTATCATAGGTCGGTAACCTCTATACATCTGGAAAGGCTAGATGTGGCAAATGTTTCCTTGTAAAAGTTTTGGGGGAAGCTGAGAGCAGCTTTCTCACATTATACACGCAGGTCTCCTATAAACGCCGGTACATCCTCCCAAAGCGTGATGGGAATCTCCAAATCGCTAAATGTGTCCTGTTACTCCGTTTCTCTTTTCCCACATCAACGTCTGGTAGAAGGAAGGCCAACTGCCCCATGGTCGCTACCATTCCACCCGTCCTCATCCGGGACTTCGCTGACCTTCCGGCCGTTAAGGCTGTTGTCTGTTGTCATCAGGACCAGGTAGGTCTCACCCAATTGGGACAGAGAGGTCCCCCGAGGACAGCATCTGCGCGGCGCCGTGGCCTAAAGAGGAGGCCAGGCCTCTCCCTAACTCCGCCTTCGCGGGCCCTGCACCCCAGCAGCCTCTGCGTGTTTCTTCCCGCCCGGCACACCCGCGGCCATCCAAAGGTGCTGTGTGCCGGCGGCCACCAGGTCACCGAGGTGGGGTGGGGAAGACAGGTTCGCCGCTGCTTCAGGCCTGGGATCTCTGCTGGAACTCTCTACATTTTTTAATCAATTTAAAATTTATAATAATGTATGTTTTTTAGGTATTGTTTTTACTGACAAATTTTATTTCTAGATCTTTCATCAGTTTTCTCACGCTGGTCAACAAATAGGCCTTCATCACACACTAATTTGTAATGTCATTCTTTTCATATTTACTGTTGTAATGTAAAACACACTAGGGTCTGTTTTGAGGCAATGTTGTTTCAATCATATGCAAATCAAACTCTTTTTCTTTTTTGAGACAGAGCCTCACTCTGTCACCCGGACTGGAATGCAGTGGCACAATCTCTGTTCACTGCAGCCTCGGCCTCCCAGGCTCACGTAATCCTCCCACTACAGCCTCCCGAGTAGCGGGGACTACAGGCACAGGCCACCACGCCCGGCTATTTGTTTGTTTTTTGTGGAGACAGGGGTGTCTCACTCTGTTGCCCAGGCTGGTCTCCAACTCCTGAGTTCAAGCTATCCTCCTGCCTAGGCCTCCCAAAATGTTGGGATTACAGGCAGGAGCCACTGCTCTTGACCCCAAATCAAACCCTTAGTAATATTTGATAGTATTTCAGTGCTGGCCAGAGCAAATCCTTGCTTATTATTCGTTTATGAAAATGGCTTGACTCTTCTAAGCTGTAATTTGACCAAATAAATCTTGAAATAAATTTGTTACAATCCAAACACAATGCAGACAATTATTTGAAATGTCTGCATTTAAATTTATATTTAAAAGTTATTTTTTGAAGAATGTGGCATGTCTCATTTTATTTGTTTTTCCCTTTTTCTTGGTAAAGATTAATAATACCTTAAAAATGTTCAACATATGTTAAGTTCATCTTTATTGATATCATTTTATTTAATTGCTCATTGCTTATTGTTGTTAGGAGAGCTATATATGTATTTTTTAAATTAAATTTTTTTTTTTAACTTTTATTTTAGGTTTAGGGGTACATATGCAGGTTTGTTACTTGAGTAAATTGTGTGTTGCTGAGGTTTGGTGTTCAAATCATTTTGTCACCCAGATAGTGAGCATAGTACCCAATAAGTAGTTTTTCAATCCTCACCCTCCTTCCTCCTGCCACCCTCAGGTAGGCCCAGGTGTCTGTTGTTCCCCTCTTTGTGTCTGTGTGTACTCAATGTTTAGCTCATACTTATAAGTGAGAACATGTGGTATTTGGTTTTCTGTTTTTGCATTAATTCACTTAGGATAATGGCCTCCAGCTGCCATCCATGCTGTTGCAAGGGACATGATTTCATTCTTTTTATGGTTGCATAGTATTCTGTGGTGTATATATGTCACATTTTCTTTATCCAGTCCACCACTGATGGGCATCTAGATTGATTCTATGTCTTTGCTACTGTGAATAGTGCTGTGATGAACATGCGAGTGAATGTGTCTTTTTGGTAGAACAATTTTTATTTCTTTGGGTATATACCCAGTAATGGGATTGTTAGGTCAAATGGTAGTTCTGAGTTCTTTGAGAAATCTCTAAACTGTTTTCCACTGTGGCTAAACTAATTGAAATTCCCACCAGCCGTGTGTAAGTATTCCATTTTCTCTGCAACCTCACTAACATCTGTTATTTTTTGACTTTTTAATAATGTCCATTCTGACTGGTGTGAGATGGTATTTCATTGTGGTTTTGATTTGCCTTTCCCTAACGATTAGTGATACTGAGCATGTTTTCATATGCTTGTTGGACATGTGTATGTCTTCTTTTGTGAAGTGTTGGTTCATGTCTTTGCTCATTTTTAAATGGGGTTGTTTTTGCTTGTTGATTTGTTTAAATTTCTTATAGATTCTGGATATTAGACCTTTGTTGGATGCTTAATTTGCAAATATTTTCTCCTATTTTGTAGGTTGTCTGTTTAATCTGTTGGTAGTTTCTTTTGCTGTGCAGAAGATTTTAAATATTTATTCTGTATATTTCTTTTTCACGGAGTCTATAGGGATTTCTAATAACATAATTTTTTTGTGTTAAAAATGGAGTGGATTCTGTTATCTTAAAATAATGATAGTTTTCTTTCTTCTTATTTTTTGGGGGATATACCTGTATTTTTCAGCTAATGTAAAACAACAGAGTAGAAACTCTAGTTGATATTTGCTCTTAAGCATTTTAGTTCAGAGGGACTAAAAGCAAGGTGCAACAAATTAAGAAGTAATGAACAGTGTCTAATGAGAAAAATAGAGTGTGTTTTGAACTAGCCTAACCCAATTTGGTCATGCTCAGCAACAGGGTCATTTTTGGTAGTTAATCATAGTGGCTGAAAAAGGTGAAGTGGGCGTATGGTTAGCATTTACCACCACAATCCTATGTCCCAGTTATGATGAAAATGACTCTGATCAAATTCTGCCATGAATATAGAGATTAGTTAACCAGACATTAGCATAAGACAGTTTATGTCATCTTCTCTGTAAATTTAATAAATCCTCAGCTCTCTGCCCTTTAAAATACTCCAAAGTACCTTGTAGAAAGGTGTATTTGAAGAAGATAAGACAACAGAGGTAGGGTTTTACTTTCATGTCAGCATTGAGAAAGTGGAACTTATCCATAGTAGGACACAGGCCCATTTAGGGAACAAGTCTTGGGCACTACCCCTAAAGTTTAGGCTACACATCTTGCTAGGTTCTTATGCCCTTCATAGAAGAATAGGGAATGTTTCTAAAATATGTTAGATGACCCTCATATATTTGGTACCACTAATTTCAGGATGATAACTGATTTAAACCTCAATTATTATGTGAGTTGGCTAGGCATCAAATGTTGACCAAGAGGTAGATAACTGAAGGTCCTGTGGTAGCTGCCTTGGAGGGCAGCCTTTCTGGCTAAATGCTAGTTGACCTCCCCATCTAATAGTGTACATTTACTGATTAGAGCCACTCATGTCCATAAAATGTTATATATATATATATTTTTTTTTTTTTTTTTGAGGCGGAGTCTTGCTGTCTCCCAGGCTGGAGTGCAGTGTCATGATCTTGGCTCACTGGGCTCACTGCAAGCTCTGTCTCCCGGGTTCACGCCATTCTCCTGCCTCAGCCTCCCGAGTAGCTGGGACTACAGGTGCCCGCGACCACGCCCAGCTAATTTTTTGTATTTTTGGTAGAGACGGGGTTTCATCATGTTAGCTGTGATGGTCTCGATCTCCTGACCTCGTGATCCACCGCCTCGGCCTCCCAAAGAGCTGGGATTACAGGCGTGAGCCTCTGTGCCCGGCCCATAGAATGTAATATTTGAATGAATAAATGCACTTATATCAATAGCCTGACAAAGTGTTTTAAAGTATACTACAGTTACCATGACAAAGTGTTTCTCTGAAGAAACTTGTCTATGAAGAATAATGAGATTGGTAAGAAAACATAAATAAAAAGAACTACCAAGGAACATTTCCATCCAACTGATTTTAAAGAGAATAAATTGACCTGGAGTTAATTACCTAGTAGAATTAATTTCTACACAGTGATTTGGAATTTGGGAGTACAATTAGTGAAAACAGGTACTGGAATTGCTCCAGTGTTGGGAATGGACCCACATATTCATAAATGGGTACTTATTGGTACTAGAAAATTTTCTACACAATTACTCTACATTAAATATTACTCCAGGTTTTCAGGACATGGAAGTAGCTTCTTTTTAAAAAATCCTTTTCATGTTACTTCTCCACCTAGATAGTTTCAAAAAGTGTATTATTTTTCAATTTCAAAATTTTATTCATTGAAACATAAACTTGGTCAGTTCTATTCAAGACATCAATATAAAGAGAAATCACTGAATTGTAGAAAGGTTTGTATAAATTAAATTGTAAAAGTGTGAGCTAAAAATATGCATTATTAATACAGAAAGCTTCTTAGTAATAATACCAAATATGTGCTCCTTATAATCACATGGATCAAAATTGTATACTCTTTAGTTAAGGGATGTAATGGGGAAAAATAGAAGATTGGAATTGTTTTAATTGCATCTGTGTTCTGAGGAATGGAGCAGCAGCAGCAGAAGAAAAGGTGTTCTTTTACTTAAAACAACAAATTCTATTTTCTAATGCAAGGTGAGTGTATCTTTACCCCTTATTCTAGTGTTTATAGAAGATAGAGCCAGACAAATATTTCTCTCTAAGTGATAGTGACATTATTCCTTCACAGACACTACAGTTGAAAGAATTGGAGGTCCTAGGTCAGAGACAAAGACAGATTGGAATAGAAGTTGGGACCGAAAGTAAATAAGATCTTCCAAAACATGGAGCAAGGGGGACCTAAAAAAGCAGACATCCAGAGAGCAAAGCTCTGTGGTAGGGATTGCTAAGGAATTTTAAGAAGTCAAATATTCATTAGGCAATGTTTTCCTTTTTATCCTGCAGTATAATCCTCCTTTATTATTCCCAGTTCTTTATGAAAATCCCACTAACTGCATTCCCCACTTGTTAGTGGTACTTTAGAGAATAAAAGAAAATAGGCTTGGTTCACTGGCAAGAGGACAAGAAATAGTCTTTAAGTGGAGAAGAAGCTGTTTCGTACAGTAGAAATTGGTAAGGACAGTGGCCACAGGGACTCAACTGTGAGAGGAGGTTAAAAATTTATCAGGAGCAGTATTTTAAACAAAAATCCTCAAAAATAATAGAATCCTTCTCCCATAGAAAATAATTTTCAGAAATACAATGGAGAGTGTCAGAATTTCTTCAGAAAGTAGAAAGAATTTTAAAATTTAACTTATGCAGGTTGGGCACGGTGGCTCACGCCTGTAATCCCAGCACTTTGGGAGGCCGAGGTGGGTGGATTACCTGAGGTCAGGAGTTCGAGACCAGCCTGGCCAATATGGTGAAACCCTGTCTCTACTAAAAATACAAAAGTTAGCCGGATGTGGTGGCACACGCCTGTAGTCCCAGCTACTCGGGAGGCTGAGGCAGGAGGATGGCATGAACCCGGGAGGTGGAGGTTGCAGTGAGCTGAGATTGTGCCACTGCACTCCAGCCTGGGCGACAGAGACAGACTCCATCTCAAAAAAAAAATTAACTTATGTATTAATACAAAAACCAATATCAGAAATGCCAGAGACCTGGATGAACTGATATCTATAAAAGTGATAAAATGAATCAATGTACTTCAGTAAGTTGGGTACATATTTAGACTTATAAATTATCAGCATCTATACCCAGGTATTGCTTGAAAAATGTTACCAATTAATAATTAGCTTAATTTTTACAGCATGTTTGAAAATTTGATATGCCATATCATTTTTATGCAACATACTTCAATAATACATGTCAGTAAATTTATTTAAGATATAAATATTCATTGTAAAGTAGGTAAATGTATGTACTTGCAAAGATACCCAAACACATCAATTAAAATAATGGGATTAGAATTGGATAATAAGTGCATATATATGTATTTGACCTCTAGAGGTTCCTGTACTTCAAAATTCATCACTATATGACAATTGAGTATCATAGCATCTTCTGCTTGAATCCATTTATAAGTTTTTGTTTAAGAAATGAGAGAAAATTAATAATTGTTATGAATATAAACAGATACAGTAAAAATGGCATTTCATTTTCTCTAGATATTCGTGATTCTCTGAATTTGAATAATGTATTTTTTAGATTATAGTCTTCTAAAGAAGAGAAATATTGAAAGAATTAGCTATTTACTTGCACTGAGGGGAGTCATTATGTGCATTTTCTACTATGGTTTTCTTAGTCCACCACTCCTCAAGTTATGATGGTTGACTCAGAAGGGTTGCTTTTATCTTTAATCATAAATCATTATGAATTTCCTTGTCTGAACTAGTCAACATCTACCATGTTGTGGTTAATTGGTACCAATCAGAGTTGAACTTCTTGTGGAAGAATCTGGAGATGTCCATATGAAAGGAAAATAGGCAATAAACTAGATTGTATTATATTGCATTTTTCCAACACTAGGCATATGTGGTTTTGAAAATTACCTATTTACTGAGTGTTTTGTGAGTGGCAGAAACATTTTCCTGCCCTGGCCAAGGGCTAACCTTAGAAAAAGATAAATGTGATGGGTATAAAATCTAAGAGAGCTGACTTAGTTTCAGGATATTGTTAAGCCCGTTGAGACTGGTGCTCCACAACAGTAATTAAGCATAATTATGATGCAGGTCAAGGTAAGACATTTCCGAAATTTTCTAGGACATGTTTTTGAAGGCTTGGGATATTCTGCTTAGCTCATATTTGTGTATGTTTTTTTTAGTTAAAAATGATAAGATGATTTTTGCTCTGTTTACAAACATTTGCATGAACACTGAAAAATTCATCCAAATCGTTAAAAATATTCAATGCCTACTAAGAGTCATGGAACCCTATTATATGATGGTGAATCGAGAAAGAACTATACAAAATTATGCTTTCAAGAAACTTATAATTACATTGGCTAGAGGCTTATCAGTTCTATAAATAATATTTACAAAACAATGCAATTCTAACCTTCATAGAGATTTGTATGGCTTGTTAAGAGAACCATAGTCTAAGACAATGGGCTTCAACGGGGGGGCACACTCTGGGATGCAGAGACTTTTGTAGGGTTATAAAGTTAGTTTTAAGGAAATAACTTCCAGATCCTCCTTGTTCCTTTGTTTTCTTCGCTAACATTTTCTTGAGGAAATGCCAGGTTGAGGAGTTAGACAGGTTCTCTTTCCAGCCTTCACTTTCAAAGATCCCTTCTCCTCCTTCACAAAAGAAAGGCATAATTACCATCTCTCCTGATCTTACTGTAACATATTATCCACATTGTGAAAACCAGTGGTACACCAAAGAAAGGGACAACTCAAAATGCTAGTGGTGTGCTGCTCATCATTAAAGATGACATGATGGAAGAGAAAATATATATTTTTAGATTCTAGCAGTGTGTCTTTCTAGATCTATCTAGATTGGCTACTATTATTAAATAATGGGCACTTTTAGAGAAAGGTATCAGATCATGGCAAAAATAAAAGTTTAATTAAAAAGTAATCACATTGTCCCATAAAAGCTAAATATTATATTATGATAAATAGAAATAAAAAGATTTATTCTGTTATGCAATTCCACTACATATAAACATTACCACATTTCTAAAAATTCACGTAAATCCGCCAGTTCCACAGATGTATGTCAAAAGCCTAACTGGTTTCAAACTAGTCATATTATCTTTCCATTAAGTTGAGACAATCATGGAATAAACATTTAACGAATGAAAGAGAAATTGATAAGACTGTGTCATTACCTTTAAAACCCTTTAATTTGTGGCTTTATATTACGATAGAGTAGTAATAGACTTAAATAGCAGAGACCCTTTACTCAAGATATCGATTTGAAATTTCATTGAAAAAAGAGTGAATTGTTTTAAATGGGGCTTATGACAATTACTGTCTTATAAACTGCACTGTTTGCATCAAACACAAATAAATATTTGGGTGGCATTACAAAAGATTGGGTGTACAAAATCATTATTGTGTATATGTATATTTTTTCTCAAGCTCCAATAGAATGAACATTATGGGTATATTATTTAATATACACACCATAATGTATATGAAACCATTTGCTCAGGTCTATACTTTGGAAGAGGCAAGGATTAACATTGAAAATACAAAACTAGATAACCAAAACAGTTTCTATGTGGTTTTAGAATAAATTAAATGCATTCAAATTTATGTTTACATCCCATTTGTGTTTTATTTCAAGCAAAAATAAAATTTCTAATGATCTGTTTTCTCTGATGATATACCAATGATCAGGGACATAAAGGAGCTAAGTAGAATGGTTGTAATTTTGTTTGCATCTACAAAATGTTTGTATATAATAATTATATTTATGGATCTCCATGACCTAGGAATTACTTGCATTTGTAAAAATTAAAGAAAATTAGAAAACATATTTAATTGCCTTATTCACTCTAGTCTTTATCTATGACTTGCAATTCCTCTTTATTTTTGTAGATTTGTGGTGAAATCTCATCAGTTTCTTCAGGGCATCCTTCATGTCCTTATTTCTTAAGGTGTAAATGAGCGGGTTGAGACTTGGAGTGATGACGGTGTAAAAGAGGGTGAGGAACTTGCCCTGGTCTTTGGAAGCCCTGTTACCTGGTTGCAGGTACATGTAGATAATAGTTCCATAGAACATAGACACTACAGTAAGATGAGATCCACAGGTATTCATTGCTTTTCGCTGGCTTGCTTTTGACTTCGTTCTCAGCACAGCTTTGGCAATGTAGCCATAGGATATAAGAATAAGGATGAGAGGTGTGAGGACAATTATAATGCCTAAAGCGAAAACAGACATTTCAACTGTTGTGGTGTCTACACAAGCTATCTTGACCAGAGCTGGCAACTCACACAAGAAATGATCCAGAATGTTGTTTCCACATGTGGGCAAATTCAGAGTGAGTGTACATAATACTACAGAATTGGCCAAACTAATACTCCAGATCATGATAATCATCTTTAGACATAGATGTGGGTTCATGACTACAAAATAATGCAAGGGCTTACATATAGCTGTAAAACGATCATAGGACATAACAGCCAGGAGAAGGCACTCAACTGAGCCCAACCACATGTAAACATAGAGTTGGATGATACAACCCACATAGCTGATGGTCTTATCAGGTCCCCACAAGTTGACCAGCATCTGAGGGATGATGCTGGTTGTGAAACATAGATCTAGGAAAGATAAATTTCTGAGGAAAAAGTACATTGGTGTATGAAGCTGGGAATCCAGGAGAGATGCAAGAATGATGGCTGTGTTACCCACCAATGTAATTAAGTAGAAGATGGCGACAACTCCTGACAGGATCATCTCCATTTTTGGATGGTTAGAGAAGCCAAGCAGAATAAAACCATGTAAAGAACTATAATTGCTTTGGTCCATAGTCCTTCAATGTCTAAATCCTAGAGTGAGAAAAGGAGGAGGAGGAGGTAGATGATGATACAAGGATAAGGAGAAGGAAGAAGAAGGAAGAAGAGGTAGAGGAGGAGAAGGAGGAGGGAGAGGAAGAAGAAAAGGAAAAGAGGAAGAAACAATTTGTCAACATGAACTATCTAAATAATTTGATAAAATTAGAACTAAACAAAGAGAGATAATTTATGTTACTAATTGAAAAAATTTAATGGATAAAAGTAAAAATTACAGCCAAGAAATCTGCTATTTGTCATAGATTCTTTTATGGCAATGAGTTTAATATTAGATTTTTTAAAAAAAATCCAGGTGACCTTGGGGAGTTCACTTTTAAACTTGAGGTCTGAATTATCTAACGTGTAGATTTGAAAGTTTGAAATAGATGCTGGTTCTAAAATGACCCTATGATTCTTTATAAGCTAGTTAGCTTGATAAAATGAACATATTCTTTTATTTGATCAGTAAATTCACCTATAAAATTTAAGTACTGGGCTAATGGTAGGATGAGGAAAAGATGTGATAACCTGGAGGATGAACCTGGGGACATCATGCTAACTGAAGTAAGCTGAAAGACAAATATTGCATGATTTCATTTATATATGGAATCCAAAAAAGTTGAACTCATAGAGGTAGAGAGTGGGGGCAGGAGATGGATGGGAAAAGGGGAGATGTTGATCAAGGGTACTAAGTTTCAGTTAGAAAAAAGGAACCAGTTTTAGTGATCTCACAGAATGGTGACTACAATAAACAATAATGCATTGTTTATTTCAAAATTACTAAGAGTAGATTTTAAGTGTTTTCACCACAAAAAATAAGTATGTTAGGTGATGGGTTTGTTAATTAGCCTGATTTAATCATTACACATTATAAACATATATTAAAACATTATATTGCACCCCATAAACATATACAATTGTTGCTTAATTAAAAATAAACCTTAAAAAAGAGTGAGGAAAGATTGTTCTTCTTTTTTCATATCTTAGTGACTAAGCACCTTTGATCTCCTAGTTTGTTATGTAGGACATCTGGTGTTTACCCTTGGACGCCTTGTCTCTCTCATTCTTAACGCCTTATCACCAAAACTGGTAAATTTGGATGCAAATATATATGCTAATTATCCTATCACTTTAAAAAATCCCTACCACCACAACCCTAATTCAAATCACTATGATTTCTTTTCTGGATTCTGGCAATAGTCTTGCATCCAGTCCTTGCATCCAGTCTTATGCCTTTACATTGTTACAACATTTGATGAAATCATGTCATCCATCTCCTTAAAACTTGTCAGCCACTTTACACTACATTTAAGAAATACTATATTGTATACTTAAAATTTTGCTAGGAGGGTAGATCTTATGTTAAGTGTTCTCATCACACGCACACACATACACAACACAATAAAGAAGGTGGGAGGAAACTGTTGGAGGTGATGGATGTATATATGGGATAGATTGTGTTGATGGTTTCACAGGTATATACTCACCTTCAAACTCATCAAGTTGTATACATTAAATCTGTACTGCTTTTGTATGTCAGTCATACTTCAATAAAGTGGTCAAAAAGCTAATATAAAACATTTGGTTAAAAAATAACAGCCATTAGCCAGGTGTGGTGGCGTACTCCTATAGTCCCAGCTACTCAGGAGGCTGAGGCGGGAGGATCACTTGAGCCCAGGAGTTTGAGGTTGCGGTGAGCTATGATTGCACCACTGCACTCCACCCTGGGTGCTGGAGCAAGATCCTGTCTCAAAAACAAACAAAACCCAGATAAATATCAAACTGGTGCTTCTTCTCTCTCTTTATATAGATGTAGTACAAAAAGTTGTGCTTTTTTTGTTTGTTATGCCATTTCAAATATGTTTTTTTGAATGTTATTAAGAAATTACTTCCAACTGTGGCCATGATTCAAAAGTGGATACATTTGTGAGACTAACCGGAGATGGTGGTTGAAATAGCCGTTTTGAGAAAATCATTTTGTGATTTCTTTAGCATTAGCTTTTCAAAAATTATGATTTGATTCTGAGTTTTGCCATTAATCAAATTGGATAGAAAGAAAAATAATTCTCTGAAAGATATTTCAAGCTGTCACACCCCATTAAAGTTCCATAATGTCTGAGCAGGGGCATCAATAATTAATGCTTATTTATTTTAACAGACTCGTTGATGTGTATAATTGTGCCTAACTTCTGAATAAAATAGGGCTTCAGTTAAAATTATATAAAAACCTGAAAATTCTTTTAAAATTAAAATCAATATTATGCTGTTAATTTCTTAACTATTTCATTATTACTACAGTCCATAAAGATTAACTCAGGAAAGAATAAAAATCCTCCTTCTGCCTATTAAAAAGTGACATAGAAAAATCTTCAAATAAATTTTCATGCACAGTATGAGATTTAGAAATGGATACATAAAATCTGAGTCCTTTATGGCTCCACAACCTTCAAGAATAAAATATTTTGCTGACAAGTTTCACAAATGGCATTAAAAAACAAAACAAAACAAAATTAAAAACAAGTATCTGAATTCTTCATTTTCAATTTAATCTATCTTTCTCGCTTTTGTTTCTGCTGGATCAATATTTATTCTCAGACTTCTGAAATAAAACCAGCCCATACAGATCTAAGTTCTTTTTCTTCTACTTTCTACAAATTGTTTTACCAATCCAGGCATACTGTTTCTCCAAGAGATTAAGGATGAACATTACTGTGATCCAGAGGGAGTTCCTTTGCCATTCTACTTCTCGACTTTTGTAGAATCCACACTATGGAAAATAGATCCCGGTTAAGCATTTTTTTCTCCAGGGCTGTAAATTTCTCATGATTTCCCTGCAGTGCCACGGAGAATTCTGCTTTTCCCAAAGTGTGTTAGGGTAGAGATTCTCAACAGGACTCCTCCTTCTCGAATATATGACTTCAAGTAAGAGGATGAAACCTGTCACAAATTCTTACTTCTTGTTCTGAGTTTAAATCAACCTGCAAGTAGGTCTTGACCATAGAGAAACATTAGGAAAAGCAACCGGATAATTCAGAATCAGAATTGAACAAAATTTCCCAGTATTACCTGAAGACTCAGATAATCAAAAAGATTATCTAAACCATTGGGACTGCATCCAATTAACTTTACTAGAGTACAGTGTCATAGAAAATGCCAGCCTAGAATTAGACCATACCCTAATATTTCACTAGGGCAGGTTTAGTAGATGTAAAAGTTATTTAATATGAAGGAAAACTATAGGACAAAGAAATAAGAAAATGTATTTTCATATTTTTTTGGTTGTGAATGTATTATAATATAAAATTTACTCTTAAATAATGTAGATTTCCAACACTACAATTATACTTAGCTACAGAAAAATCTTACCATTCAAAGCACAAATATTGATTGTGGAACTAAACTTGCTCTGAGCAGATATCATTTAAATGAGGTACCTCTAGTGGTTATCTCTGATACCCATGGTCAGAACAGTTGTATTTGAAAGAGATGTTTAATCCCCAAAGCTCTAAACAGTAAGACCAGAATCATAAGATTTACATTTTTTCTCAGTTGTTTTGGTGACCATGAGGGATGATTCAAATACTTCATTGTCTACGACAATTAGTTTTGTTATTGTCTCAGAGGTCACTATTTACACATTAAATTCTAGAGTAAGTATATACTATGAAAATTTTTGTGAGTTGGCTTATAATCATAGGTTTTAACAGCTTCCTTAAATTAAAATTACATATCAGTAATAATTGGTTTTAATAAAATACATAAGCACGAATTGGCTGCCTCATGATACATGTTCAAATGTGGATGACATTACTGATCAATAAAATAATTTTAACTATCTGCTTCTGTACGATAATCAATATATTTTACACTTGAGATATAGTATAGTGTAATGGTTAGATGGATAGATTGTGGAGCCAGACTTTCTGGGCTGAAATCCTGGTGGCTACAGTTACCAGATGTGTGAACTTGGGAAAATTACTTAACCTTCATTGCCTCCGATTTCTTATCTATAATAGGGGATATTATAATACATAATTTAAAGGGCGAATGTAAGGATTCAATAAGTTTAACATATGTAAATACTACAGTACTGGTTGGCACACAGCATCCAAATAAGTATTAACTGTTACAATTTCAATCAGTTCAGGGTGTCTGTGTGCTGCAGAAATATTTGGGGAAAGTTTATGCTGATATTTGATAAAACATCTGGAAAATACTCTCCTTATAAGCACTTCCTTTAGGATTTTATATATAATACACACATATATGAAATATATATACTATATACATAGTATATACATATGTATGTGTATGTATTCTTTATAAATGCTATAATAATGATGATAAAAAGAAACATAACATCTACTAATGGTACATTTTTGTCTATCAAGATTCTAAACATCTGAATACTTGAAACTGTTCACTTTGACTGGAGATCTCAGTTTCACTTATGTATTTTTCTCTTCCCCTTTAGTCAAATTTTCTACAGTTCTCCTTTTTCTTTTAAAAACCACTTTAAAGTTATAATTGAATTTCACAATTTCAATTCAACCATAGCAAATATTCAATTTTCATTTGAAAAACAAAAATGTATATAAATTGTCATGCCCACCCATGTTTCTGGTTTAAATACATTCCTACACAGTGACTTTTCTAGTCCCTTGCTCCTTATTCTGTGATTAAAATCCATGGGTTTGTTACTCTGGAGAAATTATAGAGAAATCCTTTGGATTTTTGAATTAATTTTTAAAAAGGTTTTCATTTGTTATCAAAAAATGGATATACCCAGCTTGTAAAGCAGATGCCCTTGCCTTAAACTTTAATATAAGACCTTTCCATACCCCTTTGAATAAATCAAGACATGTTTTCCTGTTTCCTTTTTATTTAACAATTTTTTCCCTTGCTTACTTTAGCCCTTAACTTATGGAAACCATTTAAAGTGAAGTTATTAGCAGTGCTTCCACAACTGGCCGCATATCAGAGTAACTGTATTGGCTGGCATATGTAGAAATTTTAGAAATACAGTGTCCTGAGATTCCTATGCCCTTGCCAAAGGCTCAATTCTTTTCTGTTTATACTGTGTCCCTAGATAGAATCTTAGAGTTTTAAGGATTTGAATCCCATCTACATATTGATGGCTTTCAAGTGTCTATTTCCAGTCTTCTACATTGAGCATGGAATAGGTAGTTCCAACTGCCTAATTTCATGCACAAAATTATGAGTCTAAACATAGCTAAAATAGATCTCTTGATTGCACTGAATCTGCTCTCATTCCAGTCTTCCTCATTGTAGTAAATGATATAAACATGTACCTATTTCTGGCCAGAAACCAGTAATTAAGGAGTTATCCTTAATTACTAGCCTGCCCTCATCTTGAAAATCTGAATGATTCCAAGCTCGACTTCTCTCCATTTCCAGAATGACTAACAAACTGGGCCACCCTATTTTTCCTGGATTACCCAATGGATTACTATCTTGTTTCTCTGCTTTAATTCATTCCCCTTTCAATCTATTCTCCATATGGCGGCCAAAAGCGTTCTTTAAAAAAACCACACGTTGGCTGGGCGCGGTGGCTCACGCCTGTAATCCCAGCACTTTGGGAGGCCGAGGCGGGCAGATCACCTGAGGTCAGGAGTTCGAGACCAGCCTGATAAACATGGAGAAACCCCGTCTAACAATACAAAATCAACAATACAACAATACAAAATTAGCCGGGTATGGTGGCGCATGCCTGGAATCCCAGCTACTCTGGAGGCTGAGACAGGAGAATCGCTTGAACCCGGGAGACAGAGGTTGCTGTGAGCCGAGATCGCACCATTGCACTCCAGCCTGGGCGACAGAGCGAGACTGTGTCTCGAAAAAACAAAAAACAAAACCCAAGAAAACCAAAACCACAAATCAAGTATTTCCATTTGCCAATTTGAAATCTTTTTAGACTTCCTATGCACTTAACTATAAAATTCAGACTCCTTACCAAGAACTACCAGATGCACCTTGCCTGGCTCCTTTTCATCCCTCCCTCCTTCTCCCATTCGTCTCATGCCTTTGTCATTCCAGGGTTGCAGGTGTTAAAGTGTCTTTGCATTGAATTTCATTGGCCTGGCAGATTCTGTCCCCAAATTGAACTCCTTGTTTGTAATCGTTTTTCAGATATAATCTATTCAACGAGATCTTCCTTGACTACTTAATCTAAATTAAAATCCCTCCTCCCCAGCTAATCTCTATCACATTTCCATGTGTTTTTCGTAGCACTTATCACTCTAAATTTTGTTTTTTTTAAATGTATCTCCCCACAATTAAAACCTAAGATCCAAACGAATATGGATCTGATCCCCCTTTTTTGCCACGTAACTGAATGAATCAATTCAACAAATTTGATTAGCAATAGAAATATAGCAAACAACTAAATAGACAAAACAGTAAAGTCCCTGACTTAATGGAGCTTACTTTTATTTGTGAAAACAAGCTCATCAGCCAAATTATATATAGTGTTTTATTTGTTCATTGCTTTTTTTTTCTTTCTTTTTTTATATAACATCCCACCAAATAGAAACATTCTCTCTTTAGGAATAGTGTTCCGTGTAGATGTTGATTTCTTACTATGCAATTTTACGGACATTGTCTTCCAATATTTCCGTAGACTAATTGGTCAGGACCTGATAGCCCTGTGATAATGCTGCACTCAGCATTCCTTGATGATGCTATATTAGCTTCCAGTGGCTGTTTGGTGCCTGGAAGGGAGTCTAGCATGTAACAGGGATCAATAATTGTTTGTTGACTATAAAGCAGTTAGAACAATATCTGATGTGTATATTAAATATCCCATTCAGTCAAGGTTATCTAGGGTGATATATTCAAGAAATATAATGCTAACTCATTTATGTGGTGATGGAGATCCGTGTTTAATGATATTGATCATCAAATAGCCTGGATAAAGAGTATGTTCCCAGAAGAAAGAGATTTCTGAGAC
Source organism: Homo sapiens (assembly GCF_000001405.40). Taxonomy (NCBI): domain Eukaryota; kingdom Metazoa; phylum Chordata; class Mammalia; order Primates; family Hominidae; genus Homo; species Homo sapiens. Next base: position 361,526 of record NT_167249.2, read on the forward strand.
TGCTTTTATGTTATCCTTTACATTTCTATTTTTTGACTCTTTTTTTTTTGGCTTTTGGCTTTTGGGTCTCACTCTGTCACCCAGGCTGAAGTATAGTGGTGTGATCATGGCTCATTTTGGCCTCAAACTCTTGGGCTCAAGCAATCCTCCCATTTCAGTCTTTCCAGTCACTGGGATTAATGGTGTGTGCCACAAAACTTGGCTCTGTTTGATTTTTTTTTTTTTGGTGGACCATATATTTTACCAAAATATCTGAAATATTGTAAATGATATTTTTTGAAATATCGGAAAATATTTTTGGTATATTTTGGGGAAAAATACAAAACCAAAACAATCTACCTATTTACCTTCTCGTGAACTTATGAAATCAAATATTTTAAGCCTTATTTTCCCCAAACCGTATATGATTCTCTCAATAGTTGCAGAAAAATCTTCTGATAAAATCCAACACCTCTTCATGTTAAAACCCTCAATAAACTAGGTATCCAAAGAACATACTTCAAAATAATAAAAGCCATTTATTTCAGTCCCACAGCCAACATCATACCAAATAGGTAAAAGCTGGAAGCATTCCCTTTAAGAACTGGAATAAGACAAGAATTCTGACACTACTCTTATTCAACGTAGTACTGAAAATCCTAGCCAAATAAATCAGGCAAGAGAGAGAAATAAAAAGCATCCAGATAGGAAAAGAGGAGTCAAATTATGCTATGATTCTATGACTAGAAAACCCCAAAGACTCTGCCAAAAGGCTTCTAGACCTGATAAAACAACTTAAGTCAAGTTTGAAGATACAAAATCAATGTAAAAAATCAATAGCATTTCTATACACCAATAATGTTCAAGCTGAGAGCCAAATCAAGAATGTAATTCCCTTTAAAATACACACACACACACACACACACACACACACACACACACACACACAAAATCTAGGAATACTTCTAACCAAGGAAGTGAAAGATTTCCACAAAAAGAACTACAAAGCACTGCTGAAAGAAATCATAGATGACACAAACAAATGGAAAAACCTTCCATGCTTATGGATTGGAAGAATCAACAACATAAACAAAATGTCTAAATTTTACCGCCTAAAGCAATCTACAGATTCAACACTATTCCTATTAAATTACCAACGTCATTTTACACAGAACTAGAAAAAATGATTCTAAAATTACACGGAACCAAAAAAGAGCCCAAATAGCCATAACAATCCTAAGCAAAAAGAGCAAAACTGGAAGCATCACATTACTGGACTTCAAACTATGCTACAAGTCTACAGTAATCAAAACAGCAAGGTACTGGCACAAAAATAGGCACCTAGACCAATGGAACAGAATAAAGAACCCAGAAATAAAGCAGCATACCTACAACCAACTGATCTTGAACAAAGTCGACAAAAATAAGTAATGCAGAAAGGACTCCCTATTCCATAAATGGTCCTAGGAAAACTGGCTAACTATATTCAGAAGGATGAAACTTAACCCTTACCAAGCACCATATACAAAAATTAATTCAAGAAAGATTAAAGACTTAAATGTAAAGCCCCAAACTATAAAAATCCTGGGGAAAAAACTCAGAAATACCCTTTTGGACATTGGCCTTGGCAAAGAACTTATGACCAAGTCCTCAAAAGCAATTGCAACACACAAAAAATTGACAAATGGGACTTAATTAAACCAAAGAGCTTCTGCACAGCAAAAGTACCTATCAACAGAATAAACAGACATCTTACAGAATGGGAGAAAATATTTGCAAACTATGCATCTGACAAAGGACTAATATCCAGAATCTATAAGGAACCTAAACAAATCAACAAGAGAAAAACAAATAACCCCATTAAAGAATGGGCAAAGAACATGAATGGACAATTCTCAAAAGAAGACATAAAAGCAGCTAACAAACATATAAAAAATGCTCGAACACTAATCATTAGAGAAATGCCACTCAAAACCACAATGAGATACCATCTTGCACTAGTCTGAATGGCTATTACTAAAAAGTAAAATAATGACAGATATTGATGAGGCTGCAGAGAAAATGGAACACTTTTATACTGCTGGTGGGAATGTAGATTAGTTCAGCCACTATGGAAAGTAGTTTGGGAATTTCTCAAAGAACTGAAAATAGAATTACCATTCAACCTAGCAATTCCATCACTGGGTATGTGCCTCCCACCCAAATAAATTGTTCTACCCAAAAGACACATGCATTCACATGTTCATTGCAGCACTATTCACAATTGCAAAGACATGGAATCAAGCTAGGTGCCCATTAATGGTGGATTGGATAAAGAAAATGTGGTACATATACAACATGGAATGCTACACAGCCATAAAAGAGAACGAAATAATGTCCTTTGAAGCAATATGGATGCAGCTGGAGGCCATTATCCTTAGCAAATTAATGCAGAAATAGAAAACCGAACACCACATCTTCTCACTTGATTTAAAATTTAAGGAGATAAATCCTGGGTACATACAGACATAAAGATGGAAACAGTAGACACTAGGGATTCCAAAAGGAAGGAGAGGAGGAGAGGAGCAAGGACTGAAAAATTTCCTATTGTATACTATATTCACTGTCTGGGTGACAGGATTAATATAAGCCCAAACCTCAGCATCACACAATATACCCTTGTAATAAACCTGCCCATGTATCCCCCTGAATCTAAACTAAAAATAGAAATTTAAAAAACCCCTTTTTCATAGTAATCATAAAATATACACTTATGCAATTTATGAAAATAATATAGTTTTACCTCTGTTCTTTTCACTGCAGCTTTGTGAAGGTATAATTAACAAGTAAAAATTGCATACACTTACTATGTGTATGATGTTTTGACATATGTATATATTGTGAAGTGATTACCACAAACCAGCTAATTAACCTATCCATCAGCTGACATATTTTTTCTTGTTTTGTGGTGAGAATATTTAAGATCTACTCTCTTAACAAATTTCAAATATTAAATACTGTATTGTTAACTATATTCACCATGCTGCATATTAAATCCCCAGAACTTGTTCGCCTTATAACTGAAAGCTTGTACCTTCTGACCAACATCTCCCTATTTTCCCCTCCCCCAGCTTTTGGAAACCACCATTCTAATTCTATTCTCTGTTTCTGTGAATTCAGCTTTTTAAGATTTCATGTATAAGTGAGTTCATATCGTATTTGTCTTTCTCTGATTCATGTATTTTACTAAGCATAATGCCAACAAGGTTGATCCATGTTGTTGCAAGTGGCAGAATTTCCTTCTTTTTGATGGATGCTTGGTTTGTTTCCAAGTGTTGGCTAATGTGAATGATGCTACATTGAACACAAGAGTGCATATATCTCTTTGACATACTATTTTCGTTTCCTTTGGGTATATACCCAGCAGTGGGATTGCTGGATAAGATGGTAGCTCTAGTTTTGATTTTTGAGGAACCTCCATACTGTTTTCTAAAATGGCTGTTCCAATTTACATTCCCACCAGTAGTGCATAAGGATTCCCTTTCTTTCTGAATCCTTGCCAATACTTGTTATCTCGTCTCGATAATAGCCATCCTAACATGTTGGCTGATCTCATTGGGGTTTTAATTTTCATTTCTCTCATGAATAGTGCTGTTGAGCATTATCATTATTTCACGTATCTGTTGGCCATATGTATGTCTTCTATTGAGAAATGTCAGCTCAGGTCCTTTGGCCGTTTAAAAATCAATTTATTGTATTATTTTTGCTATGGAGTTGTTTGAATTCCTTGTATTTTTTGGATATTAACTCCTTATCAGATTTGTGAGTTACGTAAGATAATGGTTCAATTTTATTATTTTGCATATAGATACTAAGTTTTCCCAGCACCATTTATTGAATCAAGTATCCTTTCTCCTGTATATTCTTGACACATTTGTCAAATATTAGTTAGTTGACCATATATGTGAGGATTTATTTTTGGGGACTTGATTCTGTTCCATTGGTTTGTGTGTCTGCTTTTATGCCAGTATCATACAGTTTTGATTCTTATGGTTCTGTAATATGGTTTCAAGTCAGGAAATGTGATGCCTCAGCTTTTCTGTTGTTGTTGTTCAAGTTGTTTTGGCTATTTATGTTTTTTTGTGGTTCCATACATATTTTAGAATTTTTCCTCCAATGCTGTGAAAAATATCATTAGAGTTTTGATAAGAATTGCATTGAATCTGTCAATTACTTTGGGTATTATGGACATTTTAGTAGTATTAATTCTTCTATTCCATGAGCATGAAATATTTTAAACATTTATTTGTATTTTCTTCAATTTATTTCATCAATATTTTATAGTTTTAAGTGTAAAGATTAATCACTTCCAGGGTTAAATTTATTTCTAAATATTTTATTCATTTTGATGATACTGTAAATGGCATTTGTTTTTCCAGATAATTCAGTGTTACTGTACAGAAACACAATTATTTTATGGCACATGTATACATATGTAACTAACCTGCACAATGTGCACATGTACCCTAAAACTTAAAGTATAATAAAAAAAAAAGAAACAATTATTTTTTCCATTGACAAATAAAAATTGTATTTCTTTACAGTATACAATCATGGTGTTTTGATATATGAATACATTGTGGAATGGCTAAGTTAAGCTATTTAACATATTTATTACCTCCTTTTTTGTGATGAGAATATTTAAAATATAATATTTTGGCAATTTTTAAGAATACAATATATTGTTATTAAGTATGGCCATCATGATGTACAATAGATCACTTGAATTTATTCCTCCTAACTGAAATTTTGTATCCTTTCACTAAGATCTGTCTGTATTCCCCACCCCCCAGCCTCTGGTAAGCACCATCTTACTCCGTTTCTGTCAGTTTAACTGTTTTAGATTCCATTTGTTTCTCTGTGTCTCACTTATTTCACTTAATGTCCTCCAGGAAATACATGTTATAATTAATGGCAAGCTTTCTTTCTTTTTTAAAATTACTGAATAGTATTCTATAGTGTATATAAACCACATCTTCTTTATCCATTTTTTGTTGATGGACACTTAGGTTGATTTTTGCTATTGTGTATATTTTTGCTATTGTGTATATTTTTGCTATTGTGTATAATGCTGCAATGAACATGGGAGTGAGATATCTTTTCAAATAAGGCTTTCTTTGGGTATATATCCAGAACTGGGATTCCTGGATCATATGATATTTCTATTTTTAATTTTTTGAGGAACCCCCTTACTATTTTCCATAAAGGCTATACTAATTTATATTTCCACCAATAGAGTGCAAGGGTTTTCTTTCTCTGCATCCTCTCCAACATTATCTTTTATTTTTTTTGATAATAGCCATTCTAACATGTGTGAGGTGATCTCACTGTGGTTTTAATTTGCATTTTTCTAATGATTGGTGATGTTGAGCATTTTTTATATACCTGGCCATGTCTTTGAGAAATGTCTATTCAATCATTTGTCCAATTTTTCATTGGGCTGTTAGTTTTCTTACTACTGAGTTGTTTGAGTTCCTTATTTATTTTGCATATTAAACACATCAGATGTATGGTTTGCAAATATTTTCTACTAATATTTCTTTGGGTTGTCTATTCACTCTGTTGATTGTTTCCTTTTCTGTGCAGAAGCTTTTTAGTTTGATGTAATTCTATTTGTCTATCTTTATTTTTGTTGCGTGTGCTTTGAGGATCACCTAAAAAAACCATTGCTCAGGCCAATGTCATGGAGGTTTTCCCCTATGTTTTCTTCTTGTAGTTTTAAAGTTTATGGCATTATGTCTAACCTTTTAGTTAATTTTGAGTTGAGTTTCGTAGGTGGTGTGAGATGAGGGTCTAATTTCATTCTTCTGCAGGTGGACATCCAGTTTTCCAAACACCATTCATTAAAGAGACTGTTCTTTTCTCATTATGTGTTTTTGGCACTTTTGTTGAAAATCAGTTGGCTGTAAATACTTGGATTTATTTCTAGGTTCCTTATTCTATTGTATTGGTCTATGTGTCTCTTTTTATGCCAGTACCATACTGTTTTTATTACCATAGCTTTGTAGTATATTTTCAAATTAAGTACTATAATGCCTTCAGCTTTGTTCTTCTTGCTCAAGATTGCTTTGTCTGTTTAGAGTCTTTTGTGATTCCACATAAATTTTAAGATTGTTTCTCTATTTCTACGAAAAATGTCATTGGAATTTTGATAAGAACTGTATTGAATTTATTGATTATTTTGGGTAGTATGAACATTTTAGCAGTTTTAGTTCTTCCAATCCATGAACAAGGAATTTTTTCATTTATCGTCTTCAATTTCTTTTACCAATGCCTTACAGATTTCACTATACATATCTTTCACCTCTTTGGTTTAATTTATGCCTGAGCATTTTCATGTTTTGAAAATAGGATTGTTTTATTGATTCTTTTAAAAATAGTTTGTTGTTAGTGTAACACTACTTTTTTAAAAAAATATAAATTAAGTTCTAGGATACACGTGCAGAACATGCAGGTTTGTTACACAGGTATAAATGTGCCTTGGTGGTTTGTTGCACTGATCAACCCATCATCTACATTAGGTGTCTCTCCTAATGCTAGCCCTCTCCTAGCCTCCCACCCACTGACAAGCCCCAGTGTGTGATGTTCTCCTCCCTGTGTCCATGTGTTCTCATTATTCAACTCCAACTTATAAGTGAGAACATGCGGTGTTTGATTTTCCGTTCCTGCGTTAGTTTGCTGAGAATGATGGTTTCCAGCTTCATCCATGTCCCTGCAAAGGACATGAACTCATCATTTTTTATGGGTGCATAGTATTCCATGGTGCTTATGTACCACATTTTCTTTATCCAGTTTATCATTGTTGGGCATTTGGGTTGGTTCCAAGTCTTTGCTATTGTGAACAGTGCTGCAATAGACAAACGTGTGCATGTGTCTTTATAGTAGCATGATTTATAATCCTTTGGGTATATACCCAGTAATGGGATAGCATGATTTATAATCCTTTAGGTATATACCCAGTAATGGGATTGCTGGGTCAAATGGTATTTCTGGTTCTAGATCCTTGAGGAATCGCCACACTGTCTTCTACAATGGTTGAACTAATTTACACTCCCACCAACATCGTAAAAGTGTTCCTATTTCTCCACATCTTCTCCAGCATCTGTTGTTTCCTGACTTTTTAATGATCACCATTCTAACTGGTGTGAGATGGTATCTCATTATGGTTTTGATTTGCATTTCTCTAATGACCAGTGATAATGAACTTTTTTTCATATGTTTGTTGGGCACATAAATGTCTTCTTTTGAGAAGTGTCTGTTTATATCCTTTGCCCACTTTTTGATAGGGTTGTTTGATTTTTTTCTTGTAAATTTAAGATACTTGTAGATTCTGGATATTAGCCCTTTGTCAGATGGATAGATTGCAAAAATTTTCTCCCATTCTTTAGGTTGCTTGTTCATTCTGATGATAGTTTCTTTTGCTATGCAGATGTTCTTTAGTTTAATTAGATCCCATTTGTTGATTTTGGCTTTTGTTGCCTTTGCTTTTGGTGTTTTACACATGAAGTCTTTGCCCATGCCTATGTCCTGAATGGTATTTCCCAGTTTTCTTGTAGGATTTTTATGGTTTTAGGTCTTACATTTAAGTCTTTAATCCATCTTGAGATAATTTTTGTATAAGGCGTAAGGAAGGGTCCAGTTTCTGTTTTCTGCATATGGCTAGCCAGTTTTCCCAACACCATTTATTGAATAGGGAATCCTTTCCCCATTGCTTGTTTTTGTGAGGTTTGTCAAAATCAGATGGTTGCAGATGTGTGGTGTTATTTCTGAGGCCTCTCTTCTGTTCCATTGCTCTATATATTTGTTTTGGTACCAGTACCATGCTGTTTTGGTTACTGTAGCCTTGTAGTATAGTTTGAAGTCAGATAGCGTGATGCCTCCAGCTTTGTTCTTTTTGCTTAGAATTGTGTTGGCTATACAGGCTCTTTTTTGGTGCCATGTGAAATTTAAAGTAGTTTTTCTAATTCTGCGAAGAAAGTTAATGGTAGCTTGATTGGGATAGCATTGAATCTATAAATTCCTTTGGGCAGTATGGCCATTTTCACGATATTGATTCTTCCTATCCATGAACATGGAATGTTTTTCCATTTGTTTGTGTCTTCTCTCATTTCCTTGAGCAGTGGTTTGTAGTTCTCCTTGAAGAGGTCCTTCACATCCCTTGTAAATTGTACTCCTAGGTATTTTATTCTCTTTGTAGCAATTGTGAATGAGAGTTCACTCATGATTTGGCTATTTGTTTGTCTATTACTGGTGTATAAGAATGCTTGTGATTTTTGCATGTTGATTTTGTATCCTGAGAGTTTGCTGAAGTTGCTTATCAGCTTAAGGAGATTTTGGGCTGAGACGATGGGGTTTTCTAAATATGTAATCATGTCACCTGCAAACAGAGACAATTTGACATCCTTTCTTCCTATCTGAATACCCCTTATTTCTTTCTCTTGCTTGATTGTCCTGGCCAGAACTTCCAATACTATGTTGAGTAGGCGTGGTGAGAAAGGGCATCTTTGTCTTGTGCTGGTTTTCCAAGAAAATGCTTCCAGCTCTTGCCTATTCAGAATGATACTGGCTGTGGGTTTGTCATAAACAGCTCTTATTATTTTGAAATATGTTCCATCAATACCTAGTTTATTGAGTGTTTGTAGCATGAAGGGGTGTTCAATTTTATTGAAGGCCTTTTCTGCATTTATTGAGATAATCATGTGGTTTTTGTCGTTGGTTCTGTTTATCTGATGGATTACGTTTATTGATTTGTGTATGTTGAACCAGCCTTACATCCCAGGGATGAAGCTGACTAGCTCATGGTGAATAAGCTTTTTGATGTGCTGTTGAATTGTTTGCTAGTATTTTATTGAAGATTTTCACATCAATGTCCATCAGGGATATTGGCCTGAAATTTTCTTTTTTGTTGTTGTTGTGTCTCTGCCCTGTTTTGGTATCAAGATGATGCTGACTTCATAAAATGAGTTAGGGAGGAGTCCCTCTTTTTCTATAGTTTGGAATAGTTTCAGAAGGAATGATACCAGGTCATCTTAGTACCTCTGGTAGAATTTGGCTGTGAATCTGTGTGGTCCTGGAATTTTTTTGGTTGGTAAGCTGCTAATTATTGCCTCAATTTCAGAGCCTGTTATTGGTCTATTCAGAGATTCAACTTCTTCCTGGTTTAGTCTTGGGAGGGTGTATGTGTCCAGAAGTTTATCAATTTCTTCTAGATTTTCTGGTTTATTTGCGTAGTGGTGTTTATAATATTCTCTGATGGTAGTTTGTATTTCTGTGAGATCAGTGGTGATATCTCTTTATCGTTTTTTGTTGTGTCTGATTCTTCTCTCTTTTCTCCCTTTTCATAAAGCATTTCATGGATTCATTGACTTTTTGAAGGGTTTTTTGTGTCTGTATCTCCTTCAATTTTGCTCTGATTTTAGTTATTTCTTGTCTTCTGCTAGCTTTTGAATTTGTTTGCTCTTGCTTCTCTAGTTCTTCTAATTGTGATGTTAAGGTGTCAGTTTTAGATCTTTTCCTCTTTCTGATGTTGGCATTCAGTGCTATAAATTTTCCTCTAAACACTGCTCTAGCTGTGTCCCAGAGATTCTAGTACATTGTGTCTTTGTTCTCATTGGTTTCAAAGAACTTCTTTATTTCTGCCTTAATTTTGTTATTTACCCAGTAGTCATTCAGGAGCAGGTTGTTCAGTTTCCATGTAGTTGTGTAGTTTTGAGTGAGTTTCTTAATCTTGAGTTCTAATTTGATTGCACTGTGGTCTGAGAGACTGTTTTGTATGATTTCTCTTTTGCATTTGCTGAGGAGTGTCTTACTCCCAATTATGTGGCCAATTTTAGATTAAGTGTAATGTGGTTCTGAGAAGAATGCATATTCTGCTGATTAGGGGTGAAGAGTTCTGTAGATGTCTATTAGGTCTGCTTGGTCCAGAGCTGAGTTCAAGTTCTGAATATCCTTATTAATTTTCTGTCTCACTGATCTGTCTAATATTGACAGTGGGGTGTTAAAGTCTCCCACTATTATTGTGCAGGAGTCTGAGTCTCTTTGTAGGTCTCTAAGAACTTGCTTTATGAAACTGGGTGCACTTGTATTGGGTGCGTATATATTTAGGATAGTTAGCTCTTCTCGTTGCACTGATCCCTTTACCGTTATGTAATTCCCTTCTTTGTCTTTTTTGATTTAAAGTCTGTTTTATCAGAGACTAGGATTGCTACTGCTGCTTTTTTTTTTTTTTGGCTTTCCATTTGCTTGGTAAATATTCCTCCATCCCTTTATTTTGAGCCTGTGTGTGTCTTTGCACATGAGATGGGTCTCCTGAATACAGCACACTGATGGGTCTTGACTCTTTATCCAATTTATCAGTATGTGTCTTTTAATTGGAGCATTTAGCCCATTTATATTTAAGGTTAATATTGTTATGTGTGAATTTGATCATGTCATTATGATGCTAGCTGGTTATTTTGCCTGTTAGTTGATGCAGTTTCTTCATAATGTCAATAGTCTTTACAATACTGCAAAAACAGTACTGATTTTTTTATGTTGATTTATATCCTGAACTAGTTCATTAGTTTTAACAGTTTTTGGTGTAATATTTGGGGTTTCTATATATAACAATAGGTAATCAGTATACAAAGACCATTTCTTTCCTTCCTCCCTCCCTCCCTTTCTCTCTCTCTTTCTTTCTCTCTCTCTTTTGTTCATTCCGATTTGTATGCTTTTAATTTCTTTCTCTTGCCTAATTGCCATGGCTATAACTTCCAGTACTAGGTTGAATAGAAGTGGTGAGAGTGGGCATCTTTGCTTTGTTTCTGATCTGAGAGGGAAAACTTTCAAATTGATGGTCTCAGCTGTGGGGTTGTCATACATGGTCTTTATTGTGTTGTCATACATTCCTTATAACCAATTTGTTGAGACATTTCTTATGAAGAAATGTTGAATGTTTTTCAAATTCTTTTCCAATCTCAAAGTACCAGAATTCTTCCTGAGGTGTTTTTTTTTTTTTTTTTGGCAGGGTCTTGCTCTGTCACCCAGACTAGAGTGCAGTGGTGTGATCATGGCTCACTGCAGACTTGACCTTCTGGTCTCCGGGAATCCTGCCTCAGCCCCCTGAATAGCTGGAACTATGGAACTATGAGCATGCACCACCACACTTGGCTAATTTTTAAATTTCTGTAGGATAGGTGTCTCACTACATAGCCCAAGTTGGTCTTGAACTTCTGGGCTGAAGCAATTCTCCTGCCTTGGCTTCCCAAAGTGCTGGGATTAGAGGTATAAGCCACCATGCCTGGTCCTTTCATGAGTTTTTATGCTTGCAATTCAGATTAATAAGTGAATGACAGTGAGAATTCAATTCTCCAATGCCTACTCTCATAATCTAAAGAAAGCAAGGCAGAAGTGTTTTCCTGAAAGGAAGAATCTTTGTTTTTAGTTTTTTAAAGATTAGGTTTACTGGATGTCAGAAAAATATGTTTACATTAAGGCAACATTGAGTATTGATGATGGTATGTAAGTTCTTAGCTGTCAAGCCTCTTAAACAGTGTTCTCTGAATTTTACATATGTGAAAAGACATTAATCCTCTTAGACTTTGGGGTTGTTGTGTGAGGCCTAGGAGGAGCACACTAGCAGTGGCCAGTCTTCTTTAATCAAGAACAGCCTTATACATTCCATGTTATGTGTGCTATGATGTGAAAATATTTGGAAAACTCTCTCTTCCCCCATTGCTGCCAGACTTATGGTCTTTCTTTGTTCCCAGGTGGCTGATTTAGGTTCCAGGCAGAATGGAATTGGGTGCCCTGGAAGCCTGAGGTAGATTTGGTACTATGGAGGGTGCACTTGCTGATATGAAGTTTTATTTTATACAAATCCTGGAGAAGCTAAGTGAGGCCATGTCAGTGTTGCCAGAAGACATGAGAATCATGCCAGATCTCTGTGGCTTAACATTGGAACATAGTGGTAAGTGCAGCTATATTTGTGTTTCTTAATAGTTGAAAGCCAGGTTTATATAAATAGGAAGAAAGAGTTTGCCATAGAATTTATGCTTTAGTTGGAGAAAAATGTAAAGTTGTTGATAAATTAGGCTGATTAAAAAATAATGTGAACACTTAAATTACCTTTAATGGAGTGCAGCCTTGAGAAGAAGATACCACGTGGTCCAAGTCTATATCAAATTTGAGTTTAAAATAGATACTTTCAGAAAAGAATCAAAAGGAAGAAAGTCTTAATGTTCACATTGAGTTAAGGTGATGGCTAGCTTTGGAACTGGAGTTCAGCCAGTAGAAGATGTGTTCAGGTCCTTTTAATCCCAAAAAGTGGATGCGAAATAACCATAAATATATGTCAGAAGAGTAAAAAAAGCCAGCAAGTTAAGATAGCAACAAAATATGGCTAAAATGAGCATTGCAATGTCCAGGAAAGCATAAACTACACGCAAAAAAGCTCAAGAATGGGATGACCAACTGAGCAAACAGTGAACTGAAAAGATATGTAAATTATTGTAACAAGTGCTAAATTATAAGTAAGGTCAGAGCAAATATTGAAACACTTGATGAATATTTTCTACTGCACTTGGAGAAGTTAAATTGATGTCAGGGACTCAGGGACTTAGAATTGGGGAGAATGAAGCAATCAGAAAGTAAGTACCAGTCAATCATCAGTCAAAAGGGGCTTTGAGGAAATTGATTTATGCTTCTGTAAAGACTTTTGATGGAGGAAGAAACAAAATATAAATTAAATTATTTGAACACATTATTAAAGGCTTTATTTGTTTTTAACTGATATACGTAATTGTTTAAGATGATGTAAAAATTTTCCAAGTTCGTTTACAATTTAAAGAGTTTGTATTGTTTAGAAGTCTGTAAAGGATGTGAGAGAAACACTGGGTAATTCTTCTTCATGTATTTTTATTTTCTTTTTTATGTAAACAACATAAATTTATTGCTTACAGTTCTGGAGGCTGGGAAGTTCAAGATCAAGGTACCAGCAAATTTCATTACCTGGTAAGCATTCATTTCTTATGGATGGTGCCTTCTGTGTGTCCGGTGTAAAGGGCAAAACAGGCTCCCTTTCCTCAAGCCTCTTGTCATTAAAGCCTGTAAAAATTACAGTAAAAGTATTCAGAATGGGTTAAGCAATTTGACCGTCAGGAAATTCAATTGAAAAGTGAGGTTCAAAACCTTCCTCAGAAAGTTAAAGTTCTAAATTGTATTGAGAAAATACAATAAAGATTCACAGAATATTTATATTAGAATGAATTAATTAAATACAGAACATTTTAAAGGCAACTAAAAAGATCAGCCATGCTCATTAAGTAACAGATACCTACAGAAAATGTCTGTCTTTGTCTTGCATTTAAAAATTGATATATCATAGTTATACATAGGCCAAACTTCTTTTTTTATTTATTATACTTTAAGTTTTAGAGTACATGTGCACAACGTGCAGGTCTGTTACATATGTATACATGTGCCATGTTGGTGTGCTGCACCCAGTAACTCGTCATTTAACATTAGATATAACTCCTAACGCTATCCCTCCCCCCTCCCCCCACCCCACAACAGGCCCTGGCACGTGATGTTCCCCTTCCTGTGACCATGTGTTCTCATTGTTCAATTCCCACCTATGAGTGAGAACATGCGGTGTTTGGTTTTTTGTCCTTGTGATAGTTTGCTGAGAATGATGGTTTCCAGCTTCATCCATGTCCCTACAAAGGAAATGAACTCATCATTTTTTATGGCTGCATAGTATTCCATGGTGTATATGTGCCATATTTTCTTAATCCAGTCTATCATTGTTGGACATTTGGGTTGGTTCCAAGTCTTTGCTATTGTGAATAGTACTGCAATAAACATGCATGTGCATGTGTCTTTACAGCAGCATGATTTATAATCCTTTGGGTATATACTCAGTAATGGGATAGCTGGGTCAAATGGTATTTCTAGTTCTAGATGCCTGAGGAATCGCCACACCAACTTCCACAATGGTTGAACTAGTTTACAGTCCCACCAACAGTGTAAAAGTGTTCCTATTTCTCCACATCCTCTCCAGCACCTGTTGTTTCCTGACTTTTTTTTTTTTTTTTTTTTTTTTTTTTTTTGAGACGGAGTCTCGCTCTGTCGCCCAGGCTGGAGTGCAGTGGCGCGATCTCGGCTCACTGCAAGCTCCGCCTCCCGGGTTCATGCCATTCTCCTGCCTCAGCCTCCCGAGTAGCTGGGACTACAGGCGCCCGCTACCACGCCCGGCTAATTTTTTGTATTTTTAGTAGAGACGGGGTCTCGATCTCCTGACCTCGTGATCCGCCCGCCTCGGCCTCCCAAAGTGCTGGGATTACAGGCGTGAGCCACCGCGCCCGGCCTGTTTCCTGACTTTTTAATGATCGTCATTCTAACTGGTGTGAAATGGTATCTCACTGTGGTTTTGATTTGCGTTTCTCTGATGGCCAGTGATGATGAGCATTTTTTCATGTGTCTTTTGGCTGCATAAATGTCTTGTTTTGAGAAGTGTCTGTTCATGTCCTTCACTCACTTTTTGATGGGGTTGTTTGTTTTTTTCTTGTAAATTTGTTTGAGTTCATTTTAGATTCTGGATATTAGCCCTTTGTCAGATGAGTAGGTTGCAAAAATTTTCTCCCATTCTGTAGGTTGCCTATTGACTCTGATGGTAGTTTCTTTTGCTGTGCAGAAGCTCTTTAGTTTAATTAGATCCCATTTGTCAATTTTGGCTTTTGTTGCCATTGCTTTTGGTGTTTTAGACATGAAGTCCTTGCCCATGCCTATGTCCTGAATGGTATTGCCTAGGTTTTGTTCTAGGGTTTTTCTGGTTTTAGGTCTAACATTGAAGTCTTTAATCCATCTTGAATTAATTTTTGTATAAGGTGTAAGGAAGGGATCCAGTTTCAGCTTTCTCCATATGGCTAGCCAGTTTTCCCAGCACCATTTATTAAATAGGGAATCCTTTCCCCATTGCTTATTTTTGTCAGATTTGTCAAAGATTAGATAGCTGTAGATATGTGGCGTTATTTCTGAGGGCTCTGTTCTGTTCCATTGGTCTATATCTCTGTTTTGGTACCAGTACCATGCTGTTTTGGTTACTGTAGCCTTGTAGTATAGTTTGAAGTCAGGTAGTGTGATGCCTCCAGCTTTGTTCTTTTGGCTTAGGATTGACTTGGCAATGTGGGCTCTTTTTTGGTTCCATATGAACTTTAAAGTACTTTTTTCCAATTCTGTGAAGAAAGTCATTGGTAGCTTGATGGGGATGGCGCTGAATCTATAAATTACCTTTGGCAGTATGGCCATTTTCACAATATTGATTCTCCCTACACATGAGCATGGAATGTTCTTCCATTTGTATCCTCTTTTATTTCATTGAGCAGTGGTCTGTAGTTCTCCTTGAAGAGGTCCTTCACATCCCTTGTAAGTTGGATTCCTAGGTATTTTATTCTCTTTGAAGCAATTGTGAATGGGAGTTCACTCATGATTTGGCTCTCTGTTTGTCTGTTATTGGTGTATAAGAATACTTGTGATTTTTGCACATTGATTTTGTATCCTGAGACTTTGCTGAAGTTGCTTATCAGCTTAAGGAGATTTTGGGCTGAGACGATGGGGTTTTCTAGATATACAATCATGTCATCTGCAAGCAGGGGCACTTTGACTTCCTCTTTTTCTAATTGAATACCCTTTATTTCTTTCTCCTGCCTGATTGCCCTGGCCAGAACTTCCAACACTATGTTGAATAGGAGTGGTGAGAGAGGGCATCCCTGTCTTGTGTACATAGGCCAAAATTCTTAAAGAAAAATTGGAAAAAATTACTTGTTCCTATCAAAGACTCACTATTTCCCATATTTAAAAAGCTTATAGTTATTGACTTATAGTTCAGTTGAACCTCAATGAGGTTCAATGAGTTAGGAAAATCCATATGAAAGACCAGAGATCAGCTAATTTTCCCCACAAGAGCCAGATGGAAAATAGTTCAGGTTTTGCAGGCCAGGAAGCAAAATTTAAATATTATGAAATAATTAAATATTAAATATTATGAAAATAAGTAAATAAAATTTAAATATTATGAAACTATAAATATTAAATATTAGGCAACAAGACAGAAAAATTCCCACATAATGTTCTATTGGCTAAAAAAAAAAAACCCTGACAATAGTGAATGCTAGAAAAAAAATGCAGAACAAGGGGAACTCTTATTTATTACTGATGAGAATGCAAAATGTTAAAATCACTTTGAGGAACCACTTGGCAGTTTCTTATAAAGCTTAAAATAAACTCAACATATGACCCAACCCCATCATTCTTCATAGAACTAGAAAAAACAATCCTAAAATTCATGTGGAACCAAAAAAGAGCCCACATAGCCAAAGCAAGACTAAGCAAAAAGAACAAATCTGGAGGCATCACATTACCTGATTTGAAACTATACTATAAGGCCATAGTCACCAAAACAGCATGGTATGGGTATAAAAGTAGGCACATAGACCCATGGAACAGAATAGAGAACCAAGAAATAAAACCAAATACTTATAACCAACTGATCTTTGACAAAGCAAACAGAAACATAAAGTGGGGAGAGGACATGCTATTCAACAGATGTTGCTGGGATAATTGGCAAGCCATATGTAGGATAATGAACCAGGATCCTCATCTCTCACCTTATACAAAAATCAACTCAAGATGGATCAAAGCTGAGTGCGGTGGCTCACGCCTGTAATCCCAGCACTTTGGGAAGCCGAGGCAGGTGGATCACGAGGTCAGGAGATCAAGACCATTCTGGCTAACATGGTGAAACCCCGTCTCTACTAAAAATACAAAAAATTAGCTGGGCATGGCAGCGGGCGCCTGTAGTCCCAGCTACTCGGGAGGCTGAGGCAGGAGAATGGCGTGAACCCAGGCAGCAGAGCTTGCAGTGAGCTGGTATTGAGCCACTGCACTCTAGCCTGGGGGACAGAGCAAGACTCTGTCTAAAAAAAAAAAAAAAAAGATGGATCAAAGACTTAAATCTAAGACCTAAGACCTGAAACTATAAAAATTCTAGAAGATAACATTGAAAAAAACCTTCTAGACATTGGCTCAGGCAAAGATTTCTGACCAAGAACCCAAAAGCAAATGCAACAAAATCCAAGATAAATAGGTGGGGTTTAATGAAACTAAAGAGCTTTGGCACAGCAAAAGAACAGTCAGCAGAGTAGATTACTCACAAAGTGGGAGAAAATTTTTCACAATCTATACAATCTGTACATCTGACAAAGGACTAATAATCCAGTATTTACAAGGAACTCAGACAAATTAGCAAGAAAAAATCAAACAATCCCATCAATAAGTGGGCTAAGGACATGAATAGACAATTCTCAAAAGAAGATATACAAATGGCCAGCAAACATATGAATAAATGCTCAACATCACTAATGATCAGAGAAATGCAAATCAAAACTGCCATGAGATACCAACCTTACTCCTGCAAGAATGACCATTATAAAAAATTTTTAAAAAATATATATTGGCATGGATGTGGTGAAAGGGAACACTTCTACACTGCCGATGGGAATGTAAACTAGTACAACCACTATGGAAAACAGTGTTGAGATTCCTTAAAGAACTAAAAGTGGAACTACCATTTGATCCAGCAATCCCCTTACTGGGTATCTACTCAGAGGAAAAGAAGTCATTATACGAAAAATATACTTGCACATGCATGTTTATAGCAGCACAATTTGCAATTGCAAAAATGTGGAACCAGTCCAAATGCCCATCAATCAACGAATAGATAAAGAAACTGTGGTATATATATATATATATATATATATACACACAATGGAATACTACTCAGCCATAAAAAGGAATGAATTAATGGCATTCACAACAACCTAGATGGGATTGGAGACTATTATTCTAAATGAAGTAACTCAGGAATGGAAAACCAAATATTGTATGTTCTTGCTCATAAGAGGGAGCGAAGCAATGAGGATGCAAAGGCATAAGAATGATACAATGGACTTTGGGGACTGGGTGGGGGAAAGGGTAGGAGGGGAGGGAGGGATAAAAGACTACAAATTGAGTTCAGTGTATACTGCTCAGGTGGTGGGTGCACCAAAATCTCACAAATCACCACTAAAGAACTTATGTAACCAAATACCACCTGTTACCTAAAAACCTATGGAGATAAAAAATTTAAAAAAACATTCAGCTACAAACCTCTTTTGCTACACTCATTGTTTAGTATATGACACATTTTTGCATGATTCTGTTATATAGGTTTTAATAGTAGGTAATTAGGACAGTGGGTAATACTTATCATTCATTCATTTATTTAAAAAATACTTATTTAGAGCCCATTCTCTCAATACAGGTCAGTACTATGAAGGAGAGGTACACAGTGAAATCAGGCCTAGTCCTTACAGACATGTTGGTATGCCAGGGAGTCAACTTTCCTCCAAAAGAGTGATGTTTCCTTGTCTCCAACAATGGCAAAACTATAATATATAATATTTCTTTATCAGCGGTTTGCACATTGTGTGTTAATAGATTTTGTTCTTGTCATTCAGAAGAGCACAGTGGAAATACATGAAGGATGGGCAGATGTGTGAAGGCCTCAAATGAATGTATGTAGTTGTTAGAAAAACAAATGTTTTTCTTAAACACAAGTTGAAAGACAGGGGAGCAGAGGAAGTATAAGAAAAATTATGGATTTATAATGAGGAGAGTTGATGTTATGGATAAAGTCAACAGAACACTGCCTTCTTACATCATTATCCAACTTTCTACTTTGTCACCTCTATCTCAAAATTGACGGTCTGATAGCTAGTTTATTTTATATTTGCCCCAGGTTGTGCTCTACCTTCTTTTTCCATTTTCCTTCTGCTGAATATTCTGATTTTAAATGATGAGACGATTTAATCCTTCGGTTACCTACCAAATACATCTAATTTTCTCATTCTAGGTAGGTTGTCTTCCCATTGAAGGGTGAGTGGCTCTCAATATTAAGAGACAACATAGAAATTTCTGAAGATTTTAACTTCTCCATCTGATAACCTAGAAATAATTACTTCAGTCAAATACCTCAGAAGGAAGAAATCCCATTAAGATCGATAGGAAAGAGTCAGATATTATTTTTGAATTATTTTATTTGTAAAGGATCAGTGAATTTGTGGTTGAGAGGGTCAGTTATGGAATATGAGATATTAACCTATTTGATCTTGCTGGCAATCCATAAAAAGTTAATTTGCAAATAAAAGATTAGCCTTTAAATCACATTCATAATAACAAGAAGGTAAACTGCAGTCTATATTACTCATATATATTTTTCAAAGTAACACATAAAATGATAGGACTTGATTTTTGCTCTGAGTAAATGAGTCAGTCTATTAACATTTATTTATTGCCCACTTTTTAGATGCCTATGGATATTTCTAGATAAATACAAAGGAATATAAGGACATAGTTCTCACTACCATGCAAATTGCAGACAATCTGAGGATTAGGATTCACACTTGAAATGATATCCAACAAACCCCATTGTGTGGTACAAAAGCATATATGTAGACAGGGTGGGTAGTAAAGAATGCTAACAATTTTGGAGGAGGTTAAATCAACATGTAATTTTAGAACAGGAGATCTTCTGACCTGTATATGAAGAATGTGGAGTATAAAAATAATTACTTTTGTTCTCTTCCTGGTGATACAAAAAGACAAGAAGCCTCCTCATTGCCCCTTTTATGTCCCTGTTGCTCAAAGTGTAGATAAAAGGGTTAAGCATAGGAGTCACCAAACTGTAGAACAGGGACATGAATTTGTTTTTGTCCTGGGAGTTGGCAGAGGGCTGTACATACATGCTAATTACAGGCCCATAGAGGAGAGATACAATATGAGAACCACATGTGTTGAAGACCTCCTTCTTTCCCCCTGAGGACTGAATCCTCAGCACAGTAGCTACAATGAATCCACAGTAAGCAAAGATAATTGATTAGAGAACGAGGGACTAAAATATCCTCACAATGGAGAGCATAGATACATTGAATGTGGTGTCAAAACGTGATATCTTGATCATCGCTGAGACCTCACACAGAAAGTCGTCCACCTTGTTACCGCCTAGTGGCAGCTGGACGGCAAGGGATGACTGAAGTAGAGTTGGCCAAACTGCTTAGCCATGCCATGGCCACTAGGAGGACACAGAGTTGCTGATGCATGATAGCTGGGTACCTCAAGTGTTTGCAGATGGCAATGTAAGGATCCAAAGACGTCACAGCTAAAATGATGCATTTGGTGCTCCCCTAAAATATCCCCTGGGTACCACAATAATTGAGATGTTGTCCACCAGTATGCAGAGATAAGCAACAAGCCCCATTATGAAGAGAAACATTTCCGGCTAGGGGTGGTCAAAGAAACCCCAGAGAATGAAGATCTTTCGAGCAATTGCATTGCCCAGATTCCTGTCATTGCTCTTGTTGGTGGATTTGAGGGAAAGGAAAGGCTACTTTAGTATTGAATTTTTCTGATACTCCACTTATTCAGTTAAGTAAAATAAACTGAGTTATGAAGGGGTTTTCTCTGTGATGTAACTAAACTGATGTGATTTGACACTTGTAAGCATGAAAAATTTTATCTAAAGGCCAAAATGTTACCTTTCTAGTGCCTCTAAAAGGAAGATCAACAAATCTCTGTATCTTACCCAAGAAATGCAATATAGCAAACTTTTACAGAATAATGATTAAGTAATGGGAAACATAATTAATCTTATATTAGAAAAATGAATCAGATGGAGAAATGAATAATTTTAAAGAATGCCCAAGAACTACCCATGCTAACTAACACGTGTTAATTTCTTTCATCCAAAATCTGTTGGCCCTGGTCATGTTCTGGTTCAATTTGTGAGTTGATGTAGGTGAGTTCAGAACTCACTGAGCTCCACGTGGATCAGTCTGATTTGCATAGAAACAACATAGTGCTATTCCTTACCTCTTCTTCCCAAATCCTGGAATGACGATCGCCAACATAAAACTTTTGTCATAAAAGGAAGCACACAGCTGAAAGGAAATGGTTCCTTGCAACACGTTCAGTACTTACAAGACAAGATAATTCATTGCACAGCCAAGTGATATAAGGTCATTAAAGTATCAGCAGTTATACAGTATGATGTATGTTAGTGCTTTTCACACTGTGAGTTGTAATCTATTACGCAGTTATATACTATTTTATTGATTTATTTTACTTATTCTCATCACTCATTTTATATATGTGTTTGTATGACCTGGATTCTGATGTACAATATATTCCTTACTATAGGTAATGGTAAAAAATTTGGACAATACTGGCATAGTAGAAAAGAAACAAGAATGATATTAGAAAATCTAGATTTAGTCCACTTCCCAATTACTAATACATGTACATTTTAGGTCTTGCTTAAATATTCAGAAACTTCTTTATCTATCTTGCTCCGTTGTGGAGATTAATTAGCACCATATGTGTGAACACGCTTTATTAAGTCCAATACTCAATGTTGGGTTGGTTATTTTTCATGAAATAAAGTTCCCTGTTTGATTTTAAGTCTATATCTGATAGTTAATTTTTCTTTGTATCCAAATATTAACCATGTCCTTATATTCCCATAAGAAGTCTTAGAAGGGTTGTTTTTTCTACCATTTTATTTCCCTACATTACTCAGATCCCTTGCCTTGAATCTGATGTTAATGATTTCTAGATTTTAATATCAGTACACATATGTTTTTAATCAGTGGAAATGCTCACAAATGCAAACAGTACCATAGATTATTTTTCAAAAACATGTTTCAATGTTTTAAATTATAATGATTAGTATTAGTATTAATAGGTGTCAATTTATTTATACTTTTTTTAACTGCTCCTTGCCTAGCAGGGCTATCCTATAGGCAGTGTGCCCACAGTAGCCTTTTTTAAAATAGTTTTTTTAGTATGCAAATTTTCATAAGGAGATCACAACATGCATGTGGTTGTATAAAAAGATTAAATCAATCAAGCTAAATAGATCATTTCTACTCATATGCAACAGTTGCCTAAATCAGTGTTGATATTTTTTAGGGGTACCCTCTTTTCTTGCAAAAAAGAACATTAATCTTTTTCTTCCATCAGAATTCAGTGTTAATTGGGGATAAAGATTGAATGTTCTTTCTGTATTCAGTGGTTTTATGTCATATCAGAGGTCTTTAATAGTTATTTATTTGATTGAAAGGATCCCAAATCTTTTGATTTATTGTTTATTTATTTATTTATGCTTTAACTTTTAATTAAAATGCTTAGGATACAGATTGACTTTCTTTTGTAAATGACTGTTTTACTTTTTCTGAAATAGGACATACATGCACTCTGATAAAACAGAATGAAACATCTTAATTCATGAGAATTCCTGTACAAGGCGCTGATCCTGTGTTTAGAGCTGAGCTCCTCACAGCAGCTGCCCTACGTAGAACCGACAGTTTTCTAGCTTGCAACAAAGTTACTAGGGACAAATAGGGAAAAAAAATCCGAAACTAAAAGTAAGAAAACCAACATGGAAGCAATCATACTTCTCATGTCTCTGATAAGAGAAGTATGGGGAACCTTTAACCAAAGGAAAATTTAAAAAAAATGCAAGTTAACTATCTAGTTCATTCACTGTTAGCTAGATTTGTTCAGTTAAGGCTTTAACCCCTTTCCAAACAATTTTATCTTAATCCAGCTATGCTTGCTAATAAATGAAATGCATGCACTTCCCGGAAATATACTTCACTGAGCCTCTGCATTCAGTACCTGGCAGTGAAAAAGTATGTTTCCCGAACAAGTCAGTACTGAAGACTGAGAACTCCAACTAAATAACTATACTCTCTCCCCAATAATATGTTATCCACATTTTCCCTACCCTCACATTAGAATAAAGATATCCTCCTAACTTTTCATCTCCTATCTCCTGTCTTTTCCTAGGAGATCTTATCTTTTGATCTTTTACTACAAGGGTAGAATTTAGGTTAAGATCATAAAAAACCAATTTCACATGTGACACTAAGAAAATGGAATGCTATAAAATCAATCCTCATCACCGTGGTAGGGATGCTGTTGCTTTTATCCTGAGTCTTTACTGCCAATAAGTGATGCTGCTTCCAAAGGAACAGCTCTACAGAAAGTTTTTGAGTTAGTGTTTCCCCCCAGCTTATTTCTACAATGGGGAAAGGCAATTTCATATTAAAAAAATCCACACAAACACACCTGGAAAAGCTACAGATGTTAACCTTTACTTTAAACACAGCAACGTAGATATCTAAGGAGATAAGATGTAAGACAAAGAGCTCAGGAAAAATCCAATAGAGACCAAATTCTGCAAATGGAAATTTTAAAGCCCAGTGAGTAAATTTTTCCTGCATTCAGACAAGTGCTACAATACATTTAAGTCCTCAACTCCCAGAATTAAGAGCCCTTAAGCTGTTAACTTTGTCCTGTCTTCCTATTCAGAAAAATTTTCCTCTAGAATCTGTGCAAAAGTAACTGACACACCTGCAGTATGTGACAACATAAGAGATGTTCTCAACTTTTTCATGAGGTGAAAGTTACTTTTTATAACTGAAAATGAAAAAGGAAGGTGCTATAGAGGGAAATAAAATTTCACCAAAGTATAAAAGTAAAGACTGGATGAAACCTATAACTTTATAAATAAGAATAATAACAGTAACTTACACTATAATTAACTGCTCAATAGTGAATGATCTGCTACACATTCCTTGAGAAGGAATGACCCTAGCTTACCACAGTGGAAACCTGCCGCAATTACAAGGCCAGGATTCTGCCCCTTTTCTGGTTCTCTGTTCACAAGGTAATGCCACCTTCTCCAAGGCAGTTAGAGAGACAGGTGAGCTCAGGGGAGCTTCTCTCACCAACCTGCTAACTCAGCAGGAGTGAGTTTACCCAAATGAGCTCTGGCCTCCAATGTGTATCTGTTCATAATTTTATGAAGTATCTAAATGTCATTCATTAGTTTAAAAAAGAATAGAAAACTCTGGACTAAGTAAATTTTGAACTCGAAAAGTTAGAAGGGGTATCAATTATATTAACAACACTTTCTTTAAAAATAGAATCACTTTCTTTTGAAATCAACCAGAGTGGTGAGATGTGTTTTTCTTTTCAGGTGCCCCATAATGGCACACAGCTTTACTCAGCAACCCCTGCCAGCTTCCAAGCCCCAGGATACTGACCTGCACCAGCACATGGGGCAGCATTACCTCCCCAACAGTGTGGAGAAGAGAACATTTCACCACTGGGTGATGAGAGTAGACAGTGACTCTTGGCTTCTCAATGCTAGACATGATTGGAGACCTTTCATTGTTCTATTAGAAAAGTCCATGAAGAAGCTGTGAACAGGATCAGTCCAGAGGAGAAAAACTCTTATTTTCTCTGTCCAAACATCAGTCAATACATTGGGAGAGCCAGCAGAATCCCTCGCCCTAGCCTTGCCTCTTGAGCACACTGCACATGAACACTTCAGTGGGGTGAGCGTTCAGCTCCTAAAGGGCCATGTTCCTCTTTCCTGTGGTCTGTCCAGAAAGCCCAAATATCTCAAAGAGTTTTTCTTCACTTATTGCATTGTTCTGTCTATTTTGTTACCCAATATAAGGATTGGCACATTGGATATTATTTCATCAGTCATTAAAGCATTAAGCTCAACTTTAGATTCCATGAGGCCAGAATGATCTGCAGAATCCACCAGAAAAACAATCTCATTAATTGCTTGGAGATAATTTTTTCAAACCTGACATGCTTGCTTGTGTCCACCAAGATCAAGAGTTGTAAAAGTCATTCCAGCAATTAATAGCTTTTCTGATGTCGGATGTAGTGTTGGAACATGTTGACCCAATCTGTCATCTTTGAGCATGTGAAGAAGAGTGGTTTTGCCTGCGTTGTCCAAACCGAAAAATACAAGTTTTCCAAATTTCTTGTAGAGTCCTAGGAACTGGAGCACACTGCTGAAGCCATTGTAGATCCACTCAAAGAGGAAAGACATTATTCATGCTTATTATGGCCTGAAGGGCTCCTCCAGCAAAGGTGGGTGGCCCAGGCCCTCCCTCAGAGCACACCCCAAATATTTTCAAATATGAAAACCTACTTACTCTTTAGAGGTAAGGAAGGTACTTTAAAAAATTTATTTTATTTTATTTAAGTTCTGGGATACATGTGTGGGATGTGCAGGTTTGTTACATAAGTAAACGTGTGCCATGGTGGTTTGCTGCATCTATCAACCCATCACGTATGTATTAAGCCCAGCATGCATTAGCTATTTTTCCTGATGTTCTCCCTCCCCTCTCCACCCCCAGACAGGCCCCACTGTGTGTTGTTCTCCTCCCTGTATCCATGTTTTCTCATTGCTCAGCTCATCATTCCATGAGTGAAAACATGCAGGGTTTGGTTTTCTGCATAATGGTTCCTGCATAATGGCTTCCAGCTCCATCCATGTCCCTGCAAAGGACACGATCTTGTTCTAAAGGTACTTTAAAAAAAGTACTTTATAGGGTTGCCACTCACTCTATAAAGCTGTGAAACTTTGTTCTCTGTACAGATAATAGAGTTGAAATTTCTTGGTAAGGGTCATTATAGCAATTCCTTAGTGGGTATGCTTCCCTCTAACTTCCTTGCCATAATAAAATGAAATGATAAATTTTGGCACCTGTTATTTATAATGGACTCAGGTCTGAGAGAAGCCAAGGAAACTGAATCTGCCTTAACAATTTTATAAAAATTTCCTTGGATCACAAGGAGGAAATTAAGATTATTATTTTAGGTGCCAAGATCTAATTTTCTTTTATTTATAGTTTTTCTCAAGATATTATTTCTTTAGATTTCTGCTACCATAGAGCCATCATAATCCTAGTTCCACATACAGACAAAAGAAGTCTTCAATAATTTCTTCCACAATAACCCAACACAGTATAGACTTTTTACCTTCCATTGACTACATTAAAGTTCCTCATTTTATTTAAACCATAAAAACATTGTGTCAAGAAGATATTAACATACATTAATGTTATTAAAACATGATTAAAAATCATGGAATCTGGAATTTTGAAAATATGGGTCCTGAAAACTTTTGGCCATGGGCTTGTTTTTAAAGTAATTGCTTTTTTCACCCATGGTTCACAATTAGCAGCAGATCTAGCAATCTGGAATCCTTCTAGCCAAGTTCACACTGATCATCTCAGGCTTGTTCTTTGCTCCCACTTTTGTTTTCATCATTTGCTGCATTCTATAACTATATTCAGCTTCTGGTCCTTTATTTTTTAAAACAATATTTAATTGACAATAAAGATTGTATATATTCAAGGTGTGCAGTGTGATGATTTGATATACGTATACCCTTTGTTTTTATTTCTTTTCTGTCTGAATCCACTCCCACCCAATTCATTATTGACATTAATGAATACATTTGACTTATTCTCGGTAACCCTCAGCTTTATGTAGGGATACAGTATATATATATATATTTTTTTTCCCTATTATAGCTTTAATTTTAAAACATGATCCTTTCTGATGGTATTAGTTTCCTTACATCATCCTGCTGGTGTGGAAGTGAAAAGTGAATGATAAATTCTTACTACACAGTTAATCTAGTTAATGAAACTATCATTCTCAGCAAACTAACCCAAGAACAGAAAACCAAACACTGCATGTTCTCACTCATAAGTGGGAGTTAAACAATGAGAACACATGGAACAGGGAGAGGAACATCCCACACTGGGGCCTGTCAGGGATGGAGGACTGGGGGAGGGATAGCATTAGGAGAAATACCTAATGTAGATGACAGGTTGGTGGGTGCAGCAAACCACCATGGCACATGTATACCTATG
This sequence comes from Homo sapiens, assembly GCF_000001405.40. Classification (NCBI taxonomy): domain Eukaryota; kingdom Metazoa; phylum Chordata; class Mammalia; order Primates; family Hominidae; genus Homo; species Homo sapiens. The sequence continues at coordinate 388,369 of NT_167249.2, forward strand.
TAACAAACCTTCACATCCTGCACATGTACCCCAGAAAAACTGTAATAATAAAAAAAGGTAAAATAGCGATATAAAATAGAAATTTATGAGTATATACTGATAAAAATATAAAAAATGAATACATGAAGGGGGAAAAGGGAAAACTCTTAATGGCACATCAGTTAATAAATATAGAGGGCATACTAGGATTGGAGAATTATTAATAGATGTTAAAATTAGTGGGTGAAAGTTTAAGACATTTACATAGTTATGCTGTCTGCCACAAATTACTTATTAATTTCTCAGGAAAAAGGCATAATGAGATCTGGGGGACACCATGTTAGTCAAGTGACTAAAGTTAACAGCATCGATTTTAAGACAAACTATCCTTATACACTTTTCTGAAATGTTGCATCATTATTGGCTCCTGAATGGGAGAAAATATAAAGAACATTTTGGAGATAATTAACAAGATCTGAATATGAACTATTGATTACATAATAGTATTATATGACTGTAAAATGTCCCAGTTTTTATGATTGTACTGGCTATGTATGGAAGTTAATGTCCTTAGCAACTATACACTAAAGTGTATGTAGTAATAAAAAGGTTGGGAAAAATTTCATAGATATGAAAACTACATTTATATATTACATATGTGTAAAAGTAAGGCAAATGTAAATGAATGATGACTCTGGAAAAGGGTATTTAAAGTTCTGTATTATACTTGCAACTTTAAAAATTACATTAAAAATACATTATAAATGTAAAATGTAGTAAACTACATTAAATAAAAAGATGACAATAAAAAGAACACTTGTGGTTATGATACTTCCTGCCAGATCAAGGCCTTAGCATCTACTGTTTTGTCTACTCTGAAGAATTTACTACCTCACTTATAGATCTGAGCCTAAATGACACTTCCCTAGAAGAGCTTTCCTTGAACCTTTCCTGGTTTAAACTAATCACCCATCCATTTTATTCATGAAGCCTTGTCATTTTTACTTTATAGTACTTAGTACAACTTGTAATTACATGTTTAGTATTATTATTTGTTTTCTTTCTCCCACTAGACTATAAAGTTTGTGAGGGAAGGAATTGTGTCTGTCTTATTCACTAACAAATACTCGGCAAATAGCAAAATCTGTATGTATAGTAAGCGATTGAAAAACATTAGGCAAATTTATAACTATTTTAATATCTGTATATACTATATATCTATATATAATATCTTTGCTCTGGATGTGCACTTAGGAAGGCAGAGAAAATTTAAGTGTCTCTGATTTAGGTGGTATGTGATAATAATGTAGATACAAGTAATATAAAAATATTTTAGAACATTGATGGTGATTCAAATTTTAGAGCTCAACCCATCTTATTTTTGTTATTTAAGTTACTAATGCCCCCCAAAGTATAAATATTTATAAAATTATTTTTAAGAAGACTTTGGGAAATTATTAATGGTAAGCTTGAAGGTTGGAGTAGATATTTCTAAAATTAGTTGCCAAATTTATAAATACATTAATAAAAATTTCACTATCAATAATTTTTATTTCAAATAAAATTCAACTTTAGGTTATTATGGCTTTAAGATAGTGTCTAATGGGAAGCAAATAAACATTAATGCAAGACTTTTCAAGGTGAAATAGACTTAGAGCACCAGTTTTATGATGTTTAGACTTTTTCCTAATACTTAAGAAATTGTATGATGAAATCAGAAAATACAGAAAAATAAGAAGCCTGGAATAAAAATTTCCTGATATCCTGTCACTTACCTCACCACAGTTAGCTTGGTGAACTTATTTCTAGTGTTTTCTTACACATATAGGTATACATAAAATTAGGGTCATGTTCTAAGTGTAGAATCGTTTCTTGAGTTTTCTCCACCACTTAACAGTGAGTATTTCTCCATAATATTATTTTTTTTAAAAAAAATGGCCAATTAACATATGCTGGTAAACAAGTCCATCATAAAGGCTTAAACCAACAAATATTTCATTTTTGCTTATGTTTTGTGTTTATTGAATGTTGCTAGGGACTTGTCCATGTCATTGTGCATTAGGGATCCAAACTGATGAAGTAGACACTATCCAAAGTTCTCTAGATTGTTGTGATAGAGGGAAATAAAAGTTGCAAAACACACTCTGCCCTTAAAATGTCTTCCCAGAAGTTAAACAATCACTGTAACCACTGGGCAGTTCTTGTGAGGCGTTCCAAATGTGAGTTTGGAAATGTCCCTATATCCCACTCATTGAAAAGTAGCTCCTCCATCCATTGTTCTTCATAACCCTCGGGTTCCACTCAGTTGTTAGGTTCATTATCTGCCTTCTAAGTTATTGCAGGTGATAGTTTATGAAATGTTTCCTTATTGTATAACATGGATCACTTTATCTCCCTTCCTCCCTCCCTCCCTTCCTCCCTCCCTTCTCTTTTTCCTTCCTTCCTTCCTTCCTTCCTTCCCTTTTTCCTTCCTTCCTTCCCTTTTTTTTCTTCTTTCCCTTCCCTCCCTCCCTCTCTCTTTCTCTTTCTTTTCTTTCCTTTCTCTCTTTCTTTCTTTCTCTTTCTTTTCTTTCTTTTTTCTCCTCTTTCTTTCACCCTCCCTGTCTTTCTTTCTTCTTTCTTTCTTTTTCTTTCTTTCTCTCTTTCTTCTCTTTCTTTCTTTTTTTTGAGACAGGGTCTTCTCTGTCTGTACTCTGCAGTGGTGTGATCTTGGCTCCCTGCTGCCTTAACCTCCCAGGCTCAGGTGATCCTTCTGCCTCAGCATCCCCTAGTAGCTGGGACTACAAGTGTTTGCTCCTACACCCAATGAATTTTTGTATTTTTTTAGAGATGAGTTTTCACTACTTTGCTCAGGCTTGTCTTGAACTCCTGAGCTCAGGCAATCTGCCCACCTTGGCCTCCCAAAGTGCTGGGATTACAGGTGTGAGCCACCAAACCTGGCACCATAATTTCAATCTCTCTCATTTTTTATTAGACTTTTACTTTAGGTTCAGGGGTACATGTGCAGGTTTGTTACGTAGGTAAATCGTATTTCATAGGGTTTGTTGTATAGACTATTTCACCACCCAGGTGATAAGCATAGTATATGATAGGTAGTTTTTTAGTCCTTAAAAAACTAAACCACCCTCAAGTAGGCCTCAGAGTCTACTTTTCCCTTCTTTGTGTTCATGTGTACTCAGTGTTTAGTTCTCACTTATGAATGAGAGTGTGAGGTATTTGGTTTTCTGTGCCTACGTTACTTTGCTTAAGAAAATGGTCTTCAGCTCCATCCATGTTCCTGCAAAAGGCATCATCTAATTCTTTTTCTGTGGCTGCTTAGTATTCCATGGTGTATATGTAGCACATTTTCTTTAGCCAGTCTACCCCAGGAGAGGCCGGCAGACAAGGGAGCACTCAGATTAGACTGGTCCCATCCCACAGGTAAGATAGCCCTGCTCCGTTCAGGTCTGGCAGTTACCATAGGCTGAGACCACCTAGAGGAGCATGGTGAGCTTTGGGGGAATGGGCGTCTCTGGCCATGCTCCACTGCAGCCGTTCCTGTGTCAGACCCTCTGGGCTTTTCACAGGCTGAAGTCCTGTCCTTGCCACCTTTCCAAATAGCTCTCCCTGCCAGCTCAAGTGTCCGCGGGGTCATGGGGTCTCCTGCAGTTGGGATTCTGGAGGTCTGTGGCGAGAGTGGCCACTCCTCGTGTGTTCAACGGACCTCTTCCCCAGGAGTCACTGCGGGCCAAGAACATGGGCCAGAAACGAGTCCGGGTACTCTGCAACTCCGTGCAAAGTTCCGAGGTTTCTCACCCTCCAGCCCAGGTTCTATGTCCTCCCTCTGTCCACCCTCAATGCCTTCCCTCCGAAGATCGGCTCGGAGTATGCCAGTCTTCCTGATATCCTGGTCTGTTGTGGAAGATGTTCTTCCTGGCTGTGTCACTGACCATCTTGGCCCCTCTCAGTTTCAAGCTTTACTATCATATCCCTCATCATCTGCCATGTGATCCTTTTGCCAGTGCCTCATATTTTAATTTCCTAACATTTGTTTCAGGCTGATTGAGAACCTACCTGGAACATTGTTTTGATTGCCAGAGGGAAAGAGAACATGGCAGAGTATGTACTAGATTTTGAAGTCATCAAAAAATAACCCACATCATTTCTCTTCACATTTTATTGGCAAATCATATTAAACAGCCAGGTCTGCATTCGATAGGACAGGGATGTGCAATTTTACCATCTGCCTAGAAGGGGAGAAAAAATAAAATATTTATAAACATTCCTAATGTATTCAATTTATGAAAAATACTCTACTTTCAAAATACTCAAGGAAATAACAAATAGGAACTTGATAATGTTTCTGCTTCTAAAATTGGCATATTCATCAAAAGATGAAACTCTCAGAGTTTGCAAAAGCTCGTGAAGCAACCATTCTCATTTGCTATATACAGTGATCTATCTGGGAATGTGGAATGTTATAAAATTTCTACAGCACAATTTGACCATATCTATTAACTCTTAGATCTTCTAAGAAATTTATAATTAGAGCCAGTAATTCAGTTTTTCAGAATATAAACTGACATTTAGACACAAATTCATATTGAATTATTGGCAGTAGTAGTAACAATAATCAAAACAAGGAGTGTAAATATGCTCAACAATAGGAAAGTGGTTAAATAGATTTTAATACACTTCCTTGGTGAAATTAAATTTGCAGCTTTTTTTTTTTTTTTTTTTTTTTTGAGATGGAGTCTCGCTCTGTCGCCCAGGCTGGAGTGCAGTGGCGCAATCTCGGCTCACTGCAAACTCCGCCTCCTGGGTTCACGCCATTCTCCTGCCTCAGCCTCCCGAGTAGCTGGGACTACAGGCGCCTGCCACCATGCCCGGCTATTTTTTTGTATTTTTAGTAGAGACGGGGTTTCACCGTGTTATCCAGGATGATCTCGATCTCCTGACCTCGTGATCCACCCGCCTCGGCCTCCCAAAGTGCTGGGATTACAGGTGTGAGCCACCATGCCCGGCCCAATTTGCAGCTATTTCAATTATGTTTTAAATACCAGAAAACATAGGAATATTTTCTGATATAATGCACACGAAAAAACGCAAACTCCGCTGGTAGTGAGTTGGGAGAAGTGCATAAAGGTAGATTGGGTAACAACAGAGATCCAGGTAAAAGGTGGATCCCTTTGTGTTCTTTCATTTTTTGTGTTTTCTGAAGATATGATCGATATAGGAAAAATGATTCCCATTAACATTTCTATAATTAGCTCTATAATTAAGGGGTCATTCCACATGCCTGAGGTAGAACTTGGGACAAATATGGAATTTGACAAAAGGGAAAAACAAGGAGAAATGCTATCCAGGGGAATAAAGAGATGAATTGAAATAGAATTTGAAATAAAACTCAACAGACATTTCTTCAGTCTCTTCTTTTTCCACTTATTTGAAATGTCATCTAAATATTATTATAGTTATATATAATATAATTGTAATTGTATATAAGATAATTATAATTATATAATATAATTATATATAATATAATAATATATAATATAATAATATATAATATAATTATATATAATATATCATTATCATAATTATATGTGATATAGAACTATATATAATATATAATTATATTACATCGTCAACCTCATCTTGCCTGGTTTTGTATTGTTTAACTGCTAAATTACTTGTAATGATGAAATGCTTTGTTTTGTAAAGCTTTCTCTGTTGCCTGAAATGTTGCCTCATCTGTGTCCTTACATTACTAACTGTAAACCATCATTTAAATGTCTCAGTTTAAGAATCATTGCCTTCTGGAACTAGCACATTTCTTCAGCAGAGGAACTGTGATATTTCTCCTCTGGACTACTGCTGTCTTGTGAACAATAAATGTTTATTGAATGACTACCACAGATAAAGAGTAAGCTAATTCAGGTCAATATGAGAAAAAAGGATTCCCATTAACATTTCTATAATTAGCTCTATAATTTAGAAAAGATGCCACATACCTGAGGTAGAACTTGGGACAAATAAGGAATTTAACAAAAGGGAAGAAAGGATAAATGCTATCCGGAGGAATAAAGAGATGAATTGAAAATAGAATTTGAAATAAAACTCAACTGACATTTAAGGTTTCCAGATTGAGATGCACACACTTAGCTGGTTTAAAACCAGCTAGATTGGTTGGGTGCAGTGGCTCATGCCTGTAATCCCAGCAATTTAGGAGGCTGAGATGGGTGGAGCACCTGAGGTCAGGAGTTCGAGACCAGCCTGGCCAACACAAAGAAACCCCGTTTCTACTAAAAATACAAAAAATTAGCTGGGCATGGTGGCGGGCATCCGTAATCCCAGCTACTTGGAAGGCTGAAGCAGGAGAATCACTTGAACCCAGGAGGTGGAGGTTGCAGTGAGCTGAGATCGTGCCATTGCATTCCAGCCTGGGCAACAAGAGTAAAATTCATTCTCAAACAAAACAAAAACAAAGCCAGCTAGATTGAAGCCAAATTACATACCAAAAACAGTTCTGAAAAGGTGCATATGATGAATTTTATCAAGAGATCAGAGGGTTCAAAGTGTTTGAAGACTTTGATTCTGATGGAATAATTTTTGGCTTGGAATAACTGGTAATTTAATTATAAGGATATTAAAATCCCTAACTAAAGGCGTAGACAGGATGGTTATAGAATAATAGTATACAAGTGGAAGGCAATCCATCAAAGTCTCCTGACTACCCTGAAGTTGATAGGAAATTGACATGACTTGTCTCAAGGAACAGAGTACATTGGGGGAACTTCTGAAAAGAAAGGAGTTTCTAACTTTGAAGACATGTCATATGGGTTCAGCATTGCTTCCTAAACAGAAGAAGACTTTTCTTTCTTTCCTTTTTTTTTTTTTTTTTTTTTTTTTTTCCTGAGACAGATTCCTACTCTGTCACCCACGCTGGAGTGAGTGGCGCGATCTGGGCTAACTGCAACTTCTGACTCCTGGGTTCAAGCGATTCTCTTGCCCCAGCCTCCTGAGTATCTGGGATTACAGGCGTGTACCACCATGCCCTGCTAATTTTTTTGTACTTTTAGTAGAGATGGGGTTTCGCCATGTTGGCCAGGCTGGTCTCGAACTCCTGACCTCATGTGATCTGCCCACCTTGGCCCCCACAAAGTACTGGGATTACAGGCGTGAACCACCGCGCCCAGCCAACAGAGGAAGGATTTTCTAATTGTTGACAGAATTTAGTGAAATCACCAGAGCCTGGAAAATAGGAAAATGAGTTCAAAGGTCATTACCATCATTGAAGATAAGGAAAGACTAAGAAGATTCTCATCACAATGGAGTACTTCTTATTTCTTACAGAAAAAGATTCTTGGCATCAGCCTCTTGAAGGCCTCCTTCATATCTTTATTTCTAAGGCTGTAGATGAGGGAGTTCAACATGGATGTGATGATTCCATAGAAGAGGGAAACCATCTTTCCCCAGTCCTTAGAGGTGGATGAAGGTGGTTGAAGATACATATAAATGGCTGTTCCATAAAAGAGGGACACCACAATCATGTGGGACCCACATGTCCCAAATGCTTTTTGCCGTCCTTCTGCTGACCTGATTTTTAATACTGCTTGAGCTATGAAGCCATAGGAGATGAGGATCAATGTCACTGGAATTAGAAGAATTAGTACACTAAAGAAGAAGAGCTCAGCCTCAATAGGCTTTGTGTCAGCACATGACAACTTGAGAAGTGCAGGCACCTCACAGAAAAAGTGGTCCACTTCCTGGTGACCACAGCGTGGCATGTTAAGAGTCAAGGAAGACTGCAGCACTGAGTTGCCGAAACCAATGAGCCATGAGAAGGCTGCCATCCTTAGGCAGAACCAATAATTCATGATGACTACATAGTGGAGGGGTCTGCAAACAGCCACATATCTGTCAAAGGACATAACAGCCAGAAGGAGACACTCTGTAGCACCTAGGGCCAGGAAGATGATGAGGTGGGCCACACAGCCAGCATAGCTGATGGTCTTTTTGTTGCAACCAATATTTACCAACATATGAGGGACTGTAGTTGTGGTATAGCAGAGATCTAAGATGGAGAGATTAGTGAGAAAGAAATACATGGGAGTATGAAGTTTGGGATCCAGAATGCACACCATCATGATGGACACATTGCCAAATATGGTGATTGTGTATGATATTAACAGGACCACAAAAAGGGGCATTTGTAGCCAAGCCCTATCTGAGAAGCCAAGTAGTATAAACTCTTTTGGGGAGCTCTCATTTTCCCAATTCATGATGACTCACTTATTTCGCACTCCTAAAAAAATGTAAGATAGGAAAGCAATCAATGTTTGTTTATTGAATACTCTTACTGGAGCTGAATTAAATTTAATGAATAGCTCAGCATCAAATACAATTTACAGTCAAGTGGATAAAGCCCTTGTAAAGTATAATATGGTTATGTTTAAGCTTAAAAGTAGTTCCTGTGTTTTCAGTAGTGTTTAAATTACTTTAAAGAAAATCATTACATTTAAATGACATAAAGTATGTAACATATGCATAACACATGGAAAATTGTGAGTTCTCAATGCATTTTATGTTCTCTCCTCTTCTTACCTCCTAACCTATCTTAATAAACAGTTTAGAAAGAAATATTACTTTTACTCCAATTATTTTAAATTTGGCCTGAAAATGCTGAGTAATATAGAGGGTATAAGAGTTGAATCTAAATCTGCAATTGATCTAAAGAAATTTTGCTTCTTTTAGTAACATCTTTACGTGTTTTTTTGAGTTGTGTCTGTCTCCTAAATGCCATGCATGTAGGTCCATTTCCACAAAGAACTACCGTGGGTATTAGTAATAAAATTATGGCTACTTGTGATATATAGTAATGACCACAGATGTCATCTCCCCATCTGCAAATACCTTAATTAAAATAGCAAAACTGATAACATAATTGTTGCTTTACTTAACATGTGCCAGAAACTGCTCAGTGTGTGAAATACATTCTTTGTAATTCTCATCAAACCCCTCACAGTCATGGTTTGCATTTTATTGCTTCTGTGATTCAGTAAGAATAAATAATTTGCACACTCATTATTGGTGAGGTCAAGACTAACACCTAGGATTTAAAGATCATTCTTTCTTTTATACCGTATTTCCCCCTAAATACACAGATAGTACAATAAGAATGACTGCATACAGCACAAAAGTGGTCATAAATTAAAATAGAAACAAACCAAAAGTCATATATTCAAGTTGATTTTCTTCAGTCTGTAAAAGTCATCAGTTATTTAGTTATATTACCTAAGTGCACCTAAGTTTCTTCAGTCTACTTTGCATGTTTAAATGAAATGTCATCGAGGTGGTTTACACCATTTGAATTTGCAAGCATAAAAATAGAAAGATAGACTGAAGAGAGAAGAGAAAATAAGTATTGACACAATTTACCACAGAATAAGATAACTTTTCCAGAGTAAAAACACTGATATATAAAGTATAATTTGATAATGGAATGAATAAATGAAAATGAACAGAGATGACCTTGAGATTTTTAACTTCTTCCATTATATATGATTTTTTTTAGCTATAGATACACATTATTTTTTGGCAAATAACAGTAATACACCTTTGGTTGAAAAATAGAAGAGAATATGAGATTAGGCTTTTTTGAATGTCCATGTAAATTTACAAAATGATAAATATGTAAGGTAATACATACATTAGATAACTTGATTTAGCCACTTTATAATGTACACATATATCAAAACATCATGTTGTACACTATAAATATATACAATTTTTACTCATTAATACAATTTTTTATATCAGAAAAAGACTACACAGAAAGATAAAACATAAATGGCAAGATAGAAAAATATACAATGTTTATGGAAAAAATGGTTATTATATTAAAATATAAATAATTATTACATAATAAATAGAAAAAGATCAAAAGTCCAATGGAAAAAAATGAGCAATGGACATAAATAAGCAGTTTGGGGAAGAAAACAACATAAAATGACAGTGAAAGTATAAAAGATTATAACTTTTTCATTATTGAAGAAACACAAATAAAAACAAGAAGAAAGTATCACATTGTCTTCCTACTTAGTAGCATTAAAAAAAATCACTGTTAAAGGTTAGCTGTTAGGTACAGTGCCTCTGGAGCCAGAATCTGCCAGGGTTTTATTACTGGATTGTGTGATCCTGGGCAATGAATGAACATTCTTGTGCTACATTAAAAAACAATCTCTGACTTGATAAAAAGAGAGTATTGTGAAGCTCAAGTGAGACAATGTATACACATCTGAACTTAGGACCCTGTCCCAAGCATACTAAGCATTTAATGAATGTGAGCTTGATATCAATAGCAGTATCATTAATACTAATCACTAATAAGTCATTAATAGTAATACTATATCATTATCTCAGCTTGTCTTGTATATGAGAAAACAGAAAATTTACTATTGGTGGTTCAAGTGATTGTTATAATTTCATAATATTATAACATGAAATTATTGAATTTCATATTATCACTTTGTCTTTGTTTCTAGCATAATATACTGAGTACATAGTTTTCCAGTAAATGGAAGTTAAATCAATGTAGTAGGTGATATCTGGTTATCTAAAGGGCATGGAATAAAAGAGGACCCTATTCAGTAGCTGTTATTTTCTACTCCTATTTTTTCACGTCCTCTTCTCTTCACATTTTATATGGCACTGATAATTTCTCTTATTTTCTTCATATTTTATATGGCGCCAATTTCTCTTTTACGTTATCAGAAAATGAACTTACCTCTTGACAAGAACATGTTGATTCCACTGTCACGTTGACTTTTTGTCCTATTTCTATTTTCTACATGAATCAAAAGAAATCTTAAATCCCACTGACCGTTTTTATGTACGGAGATATAATGAGCAAACCATTCAAAAGGGTGAAAGGATACGAAGGATTTTTGGAATCACTGAAAATACTTCATATTAATTTCAAAGTTCCCAGGAAACAAATTGGGCATTCTGATTATTTAACATGATGCAACTCAGAGGCAGGGATGTAGGTGAGATGTTCTTGAGAGATCCTTCCCACTCATGGTAATATAATACACTGTATTAGACGCCACTCACCTTTTTTCTAAATGTCCAAGAGATATTCACGCCTTTCTTTGTGCTGTGTTTCAAAGGAAGTCTGGTTCAAAGACAGATTAATAAATGCAGTTGAGTTTTTGAATTTTCAATCTTTACGACATTCTAACTCAACTACCTTTTGCCCACTGACCAAGAATGAAATTAGCATGAAACCTGGACTGCATCAAGAACATGTGAGAAAAATACTTATGAGGAGAGGAAAATGTGTATAGTTAGTGTGTCTTCAGTCATTGGGGCATTTTTGACTGACATGGGCTCTCCTCACCAGGTTCCTAGTGGATTTCTACAACGAGAAGTTGACTTTATAGACATCAACAACATTGGAAGTGTCATGGAAAGAAAGTTATGCCTTTAAATAAAGCCAACCAATATTTATTAAGGGAGTACCACTCACACAATTCTGTGTCCTCTTTTTAGCCCTAGAGATTCTAGAGTCCCTCAAGTTTAATTGGTCATTATGTCCAGAGAGTCAATAAGTCAACTCTATTCCTAACTGGGCTGGTTGCATAATACTACCACATATGTCGTTCACAAATTCTAAAACTAGGGTGAAGATTAGAGTAACAAAAATAAACAATGAAAAATAAATTTAAAGTTGTTTAATTAGGAAAGCACAAGGTTTAATGAACTTATAGCCCCAAATTCCTTTTAAATAGTTGCAAGGTCAAATAGGGAGTCCTATGATGGCGTATAGGGAAAAATGATATTTCTATTTTCACTGATTTTAGTAATAAGTGTTTGTAAACTAAAGCTACCAGAGATCTGTAGGTTAAAAATTATGTCATACAAAGTCACTTAACATATTAATATACACATTGAAATTTAAGGTTAGCATTAATTCACTGGGTCAGAACACACAGAAATTACATGAAATTGCAATAGGGGGAATAGTTTTTGAAAGAAGCAGCTGAGGGCTGGGGCGGTGGCTCACGCCTGTAATCCCAGCACTTTGGGAGGCCGAAGCGGACGGATCACCTGAGGTCAGGAGTTCAAGACCAGCCTGGCCAACATGGTGAAACCTAGTGTCTACTAAAAATACAAAAAATTAGCTGGGCATGGTGGTGGGTGCTTGTAATCTCAGCTACTCGGGAGGCAGAGGCGGGACAGGAGAATCGCTAGAACCTGGGGAGACAAGATAAGTCATTGCCCTCCAGCCTGGGCAACAAAAGCGAAACTCCATCTCCAAAAAAAAAAAGCTGATTTATGCAAGTTATGACTTAATATGTGACTTAATAAGTGCTTATCCTAAGATCTTAGTAAAATAAAGAAGTTGTAATTGAATTGAGCATCAGCCTAGATATAATCTTAAGGAAACTAATGTGCTCGTATTTTAATGTATCTATTTTTCCTCATTTTTCTTTTTGTGTAGAATATGATCATTTTCTAAATTAGGACATTTTCTTAGCCTGTGATTTTTGTAACTATATGACATCTGTTGTAGCTAATAATTTATATATAAGTTTAATAGACATATATACATACTTTCTATATGTAATATATATTTGTAATTAGTTTTCAAATACAATTTGTTGTGCTTGGATTATAATAGAAAAGTTATTTTATTTTTTGTGGTTTTACTTTTTTAAAAAAATTTTACCTTAAGTTCTGGGATACATGTGCAGAACATGCAGTATTGTTACATAGGTATATATGTGCCATGGTGGTTTGCTGCACCTATCAACCTGTCATTTAGGTTTTAAGCCCCTCATGCATTAGGTATTTGTCCTAACGCTCTCCTCCCTGTGCCGCCACCCTTCAACAGGCCCCAGTGTGTGATGTTCCCCTTCCTGTGTCCACGTGTTCTTATTTTCAACTCCCACTTATGAGTGAGAACGTGTGGTGTTTGGATTTCTGTTCCCGTGTTAGTTTGCTGAGAATGATGGTTTCCAGCTTCATCCATGTCCCGGCAAAGGACATGAACTCATTCTTTTCTATGGCTACATGGTGTATATGTACCACATTTTCTTTATCCAGTCTGTCACTGATGGGCATTTGGGTTGGTTCCAAGTCTTAGCTGTTGTAAATGGTGCTGCAATAAACATATGTGTGCATGTGTCTTTATAGTAGAATTATTTATAATCCCTTGAGTATATACCCAGTAATGTGATTGCTGGGTTAAATAGTATTTCTGGCTCTAGATCTTTGAGAAATCGCCACACTGTCTTCCACAATGGCTGAACTAATTTACATTTCCACTAACAGTGTAAAAGTGTTCCTATTTCTCCCCAGCATTGCCAACATCTGTTGTTTCCTGACTTTTTTTTTCCCAATGAAATGATTTGAATGGACACTTAAAACTGTTCATGAGTATACAAGATGATAAAGAAAACATTTATTAAATGAATAAAAGCTAAAAAGTGAAATGTTACAAGCAAATATCAAATATCCCGAATCTCTAGAATTTTATTGTTGAATATGCCTTAGTTATTACAAGTGGTCTTTATTCTTGGTGACTTAGGGATTCCCAAGAAATGTGCAATCACTCCTGGCAACTCAAAGTAGTAATAAGTTAACCTCAAGAGAACAATCTTGGTTAAAAAAAAATTTTAAGTGTATTTTATAAATTATTATTATTTTTATTTTACTTTAAGTTCTGGGATATATGTGTAGAACGTGCAGGTTTGTTACATAGGTATACATGTGCCATAATGGTTTGCTGCACCTATCAACCTGTCATCTTTAAGCCCTGCATGCATTAGGTATTTGTCCTAATGCTCTCCCTCCCCTTGCCCCCCACCCCCTGACAGGCCCCGGTGTGTAAAGTTCCCCTCCCTGTGTCCATGTGTGCTCATTGTTCAACTCTCACTTATGAGTGAGAACATGAGGTGTTTGGTTTTCTGTTCCTGTGTTAGTTTGCTGAGAATGATGGCTTCCAGCTTCATCCGTATCCCTGCAAAGGACGTGAACTCATTCTTTTTTATGGCTACATAGTATTCCATGCTGTATAATTGTATTAATAGCACATCCAGGGGTGCAGCATTGCTACATGTCTTCTCTATCCAGGCACACTGATCGATCAGGGTAATTTATTTATTCATTGTTTGCAAGGTTCTATGCCAGCCAGCCAGTGCCAAGGACTTCAGAGATAAGCCACAATACCTGCCTATGTGTCTGGTTGGAACATGAACATGGAAACAAACCATTTAATCATTTACTCAATAAATCTTTATGTCATGGTGATAAGTGTCAGGCACTGTCATGTGCACAGGAGATATATTGATAATCAAAAGAAATAAAGTCTCTGTTCTAATGAAGCTTACATACTAGTAAGGAGATAGAAAACTAATAATAAGTAAATAGATATATAATACAATGTCAGATAGTGATAAATGCTATGAAGAAAAAGAAAGCAGGGTAAGAGAATCAAAATTAGCTGAGGCTGTTACTTTAGACAGCATGGTCAGTCAGTTTCTGTGAGGGGGCAACATTTGACCTGAACAGAGTTAGGGGTTCTCATTCACTTGGAAGATTCTAAACTGAGATTTCGAGTTTGAATTTTTTTTGAAATGTTGCCAGTTAATGCATCAATAATTTATCAGCCGGTGTTCATTATATAACGTTATACTTTAACAAGGACACTAAGCACTAAACTATTTAAAGATCTTCGTCTTTACAAAGGTACTACAAAGGAAACTACAAAGACTGTAGTTTCTGAAGTTAAGAAATGCAGACCGATCCTTTGTTTCTGCATTCATCCATTTGCATTGCTATAAAGGAATACCTAAGACTGGGTAATTTACAAAGAAAAAAGGTTTATTTTGGCTCACAGTTGTTTCCTGACTTTTTAATAATATATATATTTTATATATATTATATATATATATATATTTTTTTATCATTGGGATTAAATTTTGGCCTGGTGTTCACTTTCTTTATATATTTATGAACAATTTAATAATGAGGTGAAATAGCCTTAAGTCTGATATATGATGCACCCACATATAAATGGAAATGGCATGCACAAAGACACTTTACTATTGGAACTGTATTGGAAAATTTATGAAATTTTAGGTAAAATTGCACCTAAAATTGTGTTATTAGTGACTGTAAGTAGCAATGCTAAATTTATTGTACTTGATGAATGAATGTATTTAGGCTAGTCATGGTTACTTTGGTTTAAATGTCTAAATAACATCTTTAGTTTTAAAAATGTGTTTGTAATTTGTACTATTGACAGGAGGATATTCTTGGACTGCAGCGGTTATTGGCAATGTGTGATTTGTGTTTTCTTACTTTATAGAATTATCTAATGTGATATGCTGATTTTTACAGGTAATATTTAGATATTTCCAATAATTGTATATTTGACAACCTACTAAAATGATTTGCTTTGGGAAAAAACTGAAAAACAATACTCAAACATAGGCTGCCTGTAAGAGGCTAACTTTAACTTAAAGAACACACATTGACTGAAAAAAATATTTCATGCAAGTAGAAACCAAAAGACAGCAGGGGTAGCTCTACTTATATTAGACAGACTTTAAGTCCAAAACTGTAAAAAGAGACAGAGAAAGTCATTACATGATAAAAGGGTCAATTCATCAAAAGGACGTAACAATTGTAAATATATATACACCTAATACTAGATCATCTAAATGTATAAAGAAAGTATTAATAGACCTAAAAAGAAACAGACTGCAATACAGTAATAGCAGGGTTTTTCAACACTTCACTTTCAACAATGAACATGTCATCTAGACAGAAATCAATAAGGAAACACTGGACTTGAAACGCACATTAGATCAAATGGACCTAACAGACATATATAGAACATTCCATCCAACAGCAACAGAATACTCATTCTTCTCAAGTGCAAATGGGACATTATCCAGGATCAAATATTAGGGAACAAAATAAGTCTCCACAGTTTTAAGAAGATCGAAATCATATCAAGTATCTTTTCTGACCACAAAGTTATGAAAGTAGAAGTGAATAATAGGAGAAAATTTAAAATATTTACAAACGTGGAAATTAAACAACATGCTCCTGAATAAACAATGGGTTAAATAAAAAATCAAAAGCAAAATTAAAAAAAATCTTAAGACAGATGAAAATGAAAACACAACATACCACAACTTATGGCATGTAGCAAAAGAAGATATTAGCAAGAGGAATGTTTGTAGTAATAAATGCCTATATTAAAAAAGAAGAAAGATCCCAAACAACCTAATGTTACATTTCAAGAAACCAGAAAAAGAGAAGAGCAAACTAATCCCAAAGTTAGCAGAAGGAAGGAAATAACAAAGATCAGAGCAGAAATAAATAAGAAGCTAGAAAACAATAGAATGCATTCACAAAACTAAGACTTGAATTTTTGAAAAGATAAAAACAATTGGCAAAACTTGAGTAGACCAACTAAGAAGAAAAGAAGACTCTAATAAAGTCAAAAATGAAAGAGGAGACATTACAATTGATACTACAGAAGTACAAAAGCTCATAAAAGAATACTATGAACAATTTTACACCAACGAATAGGGTAACCTAGAAGAAATGGTTAAATTTCTAGAAACATAACAAAAATGAATCATGAAAAAAACAGAAAATCTGAACAGACTAATAATGAGTAAGGAGGTTGAATCAGTAATAAAAGTCTTCTACCAAACAAAAACCCAGAATATGATGGATTTTGCATTCATGGTTTGGAAGAATTAATATTATTAAAATATGTGTACTACCTAAAGTGATACACAGATTCAGTGCAATTTCTATAAAAGTTCAATGACTTTTTTGTTTCACAGAAATAGAAAAAGCAATTTAAAAATTCATATGGAATGACAAAAACCCCTAAGTAGCTGAAGCACTTTTGAGCAAAAAGAGCAAAGCTGGAGGCATCACACTACCTGTTTCAAAATATATTACACAGTTATAGTATTCAAAACAGAAAGGTAGTGGCATAACAACAGACACACGGACCAATGTAATGTGATAGAGAGCCCAGAGATAAACTCATGCATTTGTGGTTAACTGATTTTTGCCAAAGATGCCAAGAATGAACACACTATGGAGAAAGGGCAGTATCTTTAATAAATGATGCTGGGAAAATCAAATACCCAAATACAGAACAATGAAATTGAAACCTTATTTCACACCATATGCAAAAATCCTCTAAAAATGGTTTAAAGATTTAAATGTGTGACCAGAAAATGTAAAATTACTAGAAGAAAACATAGGGAAAAATGTTCTTGAAATTAATCTTGGCAATAATTTATTGGTGATGATCTCAATAGCACAGGAAACCAAAGCAGAAATAGACAAATGGGATTACCTCAAACCAAAAACCTTCTGTATAACAAAGTAAATAACGGATTGAAGAGACAACCCATGGACTGGGAGAAAATATTTACAAACCATACATGGCTAATATCCAAAATATGTAAGAAATGCAAACAACTTAAATTTGTTAGCAAGAAAACAAAGAACCCCTTTTAAAACTGAGCAAAACACTTAATGGACATCTTTCAAAAGATGACATAAAAGACTAACAGATACATAACAAAATTTCTCAACATCAAGGAAATACAAATTAAAACCACAATAAGATATCACCTCATACCTGTTAGAATGGCTATATCAATAAAATAAGAGTTAATAAGTATTAGCAAGGATGTGGAGAAGGGAATCCTTATATACTAATGGTAGTAATGTAAATTAATACAGCCATTATTGAAATCAGCATGGAGGTTCCTCAAAAAAAGATAGAATTACCATATGATCCAGCAACTATATTTCTGAGTACATAGCCAAAGAGATTGAAATTAATATGTTAAAAATATATTGGTAGATTTTCCTCTAATTTGGTCTTAACGTCTCTCTTTGAAGAGGAGCCAGAAACTCTAGCCCTGCTCTGATGGGCTCCAGTGGAGGTGGTTGTGGTTGTGGATGTTTTCAGTGTTTTTTTCGTGGAATACTTCTATATCCTGATGGAGAGCTAATGCCTAATTGTCCTATTTATGACCAGGTGTCCCTCTCACTGGAAACTCATTTTCACTGGCAGACACCCTTGTGGCTCTTGTCTGACTAGTGTGTCCAGTTCATTCCTACCAAGATAACCACTCTTTAAGAGAGCCTTGTCCAGAAAAGAAGTTAATTTCACGTATGTCAGTCACGCGAGACGCAAGTAAAAAAAAACACGTAATAGAAGTAGTTTTATTACTTAAAGATCCAGAGAGAAGAAGGAAACTTTCCTCACAGGCCTAACGGGAGAAGGGGCAGCCCTCAGAGACATGCATGCTCAACCAGTGGGTGGGTAGCAAGGGAGAGTGAGTGACAGCCGAGAAGGCCGAAGCCTTTACTGGGGTACACAGCATTTCCTAAGCAGGGAGTAACTGATTGCTGGGTTTAAAGCAAGCAGGCATGAGTTCTTGGGAGTTATGTTGTATTGAGAGGTGTTCACTACTGCAAGTCTGCAGTCCATGTGGGGTGTGGGGATCAGTGGGATAAGTCAAACAGGTTGTATCTAGGTGCTCCACAGGAAGGTGGAAACCAAGAGGCCAAATATCTGGATTGACCACCTGAAGAAACTGGGAGAGGAGAACTCGAAATTGTGTTAAGGGTGACTAAGCCCTGCTTCTGGTATGAGAAAGTTCAACTTATATTGAAAATAAACACTGAGGCAACATAAAATCATAAGAATTCACTACAGATATTTGCACTACCATGTTCATTGTAGCATTATTCACAATAGCTGAGATATGGAAGGAACTTAAATGCCCATCAATGGATAAACAGATAAATATATAAAAGGGATATAATGTGATATATATGAGCCACATTATCTATATAAAATGGAATACTATCCAGCCTTAAAGAAAAAAGGAAATTCTGTCTTTTCAACAACATTCATGAACCTGCAGGACATTATGCAAAGTGAAAGAAGCCAGACACAGAAAGACAAATACCACGTGATCTCACTCATATGTGGAATCTAAAAAAGATAAACTCATGCAAGTGGAGAGTAGAATATAGCTACCTTGGGGGTAGGGGATGGGGAAAGGGGAGATTTTAAACACAAGATATTTTTTAACCTTTTGCAGGAAAAATCTTGGAATTGAATTTAAAAGACAACTGGGATGGCATAAATAATATAGGTCAGTCTCAAAGAGCACGTCATTAGTAAGGAATAGATATACAGTTTAGTCTTTATGTATTCTAGTTTTTCAGTTGAATGGCTCTGAAATCACTCCTTTTTTCCAGTTGTCTTGTAAATTTTACCCTTAGCCCCATGGAAAACTGAAAAAAAATCACATGGCTCAGTAAAACCCATTCCCTTTATTGTAAATATAACTCACAGCATCTTTTCCCATATTTGTAAGTGATAAATTCACTGTCATCACAGTAAGACTATAACATCATACTGAAGATATTTCTGTGAAGAGTTTTGTACTGAGAACACCACACCAGGACAACTTGAAGGGCATTAATTGCAACTTTGGGATTTATACTCCCAAAGGCCCCAGTCAATGAAAGAGTATCCCATTATTCTTTTTGGTTCCATAAAGATTCCATTTACTCTGGGATAAAGGGTCCATCCCCTGATACCTTGAATGCTCTAAAGTATTCCCACATTCTGCTAAAAAGCAGATCTTTTGGACAAACTCAGGCTCTCTTTTCTGTAGCAATGACAATCACAGTTATTTCCAGACTCTGTTCTCCATAGTTAGATTTAAAACATTGGCAAAAATGTTATAAGAAGGCAATTAGGTTGATGTTTCTAGGTTGCATGGCAACCAGAGAGCCCCTTCATCAGTTTATACATGATGAGGTCGTAGGCCAGGTAGAGAGTGACAGGGAACAGGGACAAACACAGGAAGGTCAGTACTGAAAGAAGTTGGCGCACTTCTTAAGGGGTGTACAGCTTCTGTATTTCAAAATTGCAGGAAGTGTAGATTTTAAATGTTCTTACTACAAAAAAATGATGTGTGTGAGGTGATAGGTACATTAACTAGCTTAATATAATCATTCTATGATGTATATACATATCAAAACATTACAATGTACTCCATACATATATACAATTATTACTAGTCAATGAAAAAGTAAGAAAACAAACCAGATATAGTATAAAGGAATGAATATGACACGAATTGGGAAAATGTCTCTTAGTAATAATTGGGGAAAGAAGAGACACTCAGCCATCCATTTTCCCTACAGTGTTTGATTTAAAAGAAGAGAGAAGATATTTTATTCCATAGTTCATAAAAGCTACATTTGATAGGGTCTTCATTTCCCTCTTTTCCTCCAAGAAGAAAATCGAAGCTGCAAACTTTTCTCTACGTGAGTTCTGGGTTTTTTTTTTTTTTTGTCCCTTATTTCCTATCCTTTTTATCGACTCTGGAAGAATGCTGAAAGATGGTTTATACAACAGAAAAATATCAGATTTCACCTTTTAATTACTGTAGTAAGGAAGTCAGGCAGCTGCATTAGGAAAGAAAATTATACCTGCATTAGCAAAAGTATCCACAACATTTGAGTTCAAGTATCTTACAGAATATTACCTTTCAACCTAGCGAAATTTTTAAAAAAATTCTTGCAATTTTTCCATGATTTCTCAAAAGGTAATGATCATTTCATTATCAACAATATGGAAAAGTGTACAGATATCTTTGTACCTGTCTGGAGCATCTGCACAGACTTGGCCCAAGTTCAACGTTCCTAGCTCTCCAGCTGTAACTCAACTAATTAGGCAAACCCTTACATCTTTTTCAAGAGTCAAGATTAGAATATTTGAGTTGTTAAAAGTTTTTCAAAACACTGAAGGTGAGTTGGGTGTAAATAAATTTGTCTTTTGTCATATTTTATCAGAGAGTATGAGAGGAAGAGTTGGCTGTGGCAGGAGGGGAGCAGAAGGGGGATGGCAATGCTATTTAGGAATATTGAAGAAAACCCAGAAATACAAATTATAAGTTGTGACTCAGAATTTAAAGTATAGTTCAGTTATTGGCCTAAAGCATATAAAATTTTTTAGAAACCACATTTAAGTCTTCTTGTCCCTGTCTAACAATCCTGTGTTATACATTCTTTCAATTTCAAATGCCACATTCTGACCTCCTCTTCACTGTTGTGCCTCAAAGCACTCTTCCTTTCTCTCTTACACCTCCCGGTGTTTTTGTTAGACTCTGTAATCTTTCTGTCTTCCAATAATAATTATACCCCCATGTAACTTTGGAAGCACTCTATCACTGATATCTCTACTCTATTTCACTTTATTAATCAGCTTTGCTTATATTGTGAATTTTTATAAGTTGGTGTGTGTGTGCATGTCTGTTTAAACCTTCATTTGCATGTTATTTTATTCGTCTAGAAATAAACTGCTAGCATAAATAAATGAATATCATTTAATTCTTTCTATAATCATATCCAATTATTTCTTTTCAGTTCATATTAATATTTTAAAGTGACTACCTAATTGCTCTTTAACATGGGAAGTTCCTATCTATAAGTAAGATTATTATGGCTGCAGTTATTCCTTTCTCTGTAACTGCAAAATTGGAAATAGTCTGAAAATGCAAAAAAAAATCAATTTAACTTTTTAAAATAAAAAATTATTTTCTTAAATATTGTCTTTCTGATTATGGAATATCTTAGTCTTCATTTATCCAAATGTTAACTCAAGGATGTATATAAAAGAACTCAGTAACTTGAAAAGCTATTACTTGTATCCACAGCTGGACAAATATCTCAATGAAGCATACAAAGGAAACTGTATAAAAATTCTACTGCCATAATGGTGCACACTATCTGGAATTGGGATACTTTTTTCTCCAATCTGTTTGCAAGTGAGCAGTTGGCAATGCATGGACAGACTTTGAGTTTATGCGATTCTTTCTTTAGGTACAGGAAAAATAAGAATGTTGATGAAAAAAAATGCAAGTTTTGAAGACTTCTTTATTCTACTTGGATTTTCTAACTGGCCTCATCTGGAAGTAGTTCTCTTTGTGGTTATCTTGATCTTCTACTTGATAACACTGATAGGAAACCTGTTCATCATCATCCTGTCATACCTGGACTCCCATCTCCACACTCCCATGTACTTCTTCCTTTCAAATCTCTCATTTCTGGATCTCTGCTACACCACCAGCTCTATCCCTCAGTTGCTGGTGAATCTCTGGGGCCCGGAAAAGACCATCTCTTATGCTGGTTGTACAGTTCAACTTTACTTTGTTCTCGCACTGGGAACCGCAGAGTGTGTCCTACTGGTGGTGATGTCCTATGATCGTTATGCAGCTGTGTGTAGACCTTTGCATTACACTGTCCTCATGCACCCTCGTTTCTGCCGCTTGTTGGCTGCGGCTTCTTGGGTAAGTGGTTTTACAACCTCAGCACTTCATTCCTCCTTTACTTTCTGGATACCCCTATGTAGACATCGCCTAGTGGATCACTTCTTCTGTGAAGCTCCAGCACTTCTGCGATTATCATGTGTTGATACCTAGGCAAATGAGCTGACCCTCATGGTCATGAGCTCCATTTTTGTTCTCATACCTCTCATCCTCATCCTCACTTCCTATGGTGCCATTGCCCGGGCTGTACTGAGCATGCAATCAACCACTGGGCTTCAGAAAGTGCTTAGGACATGTGGAGCCCATCTTATGGTTGTATCTCTCTTTTTCATTCCAGTCATGTGCATGTATCTCCAGCCACCATCAGAAAATTCTCAAGATCAAGGCAAGTTCATTGCCCTCTTTTACACTGTTGTCACACCTAGTCTTAACCCTCTAATCTACACTTTCAGAAACAAGGATGTAAGAGGGGCAGTGAAGAGACTAATGGGGTGGGAATGGGGGATGTGACAGGGAAATCATGTTGGCTGTTGTTTTTCCTAGGGTCTTATCCATTTTGAAAGGTTGTTTCCCTGCTTCTTTGTGATTTGTGTTTCATCTAACAGCTCACAAAACATGGAATAGTTCAGTTCCCCCATTTGTTGCTCTGTTTAATATTTAGTTCTGAAATATTATGTTGAGATAAAGGTTTTGATTAGTACCATTTTGTTCTTTTACAATTCTATATTTATTTCCATGAAAATTGTGGACTGTGGTTTCAACATAAATAAATGTGTGTGTGAATAATTATGAGGAGATTATTTAAAAAATATTGGCAATATTTCTGACAATGTGCTAAATTATGAACTGACCATTGATATGTATAGGAAGAGAAGGGAAATATTGCAAAGATGTAGGCTGAAGAAGTTTTTGGTTATTAAATAAACCTTAAATGAAGCTAAAAATAGTCACAGCAAAGAAAAATAGTAAACATAATGAATAACACCATTTATTATATGGTAAAGGATATGTCATAATTTTTTGGTTGAAGTTCACTTTTTAAAGACACTAAATTATATAATTTATCCTGTAGGTCTGCATTCTTGTCACATTGAACAGTAAACTAATATCTCTTTAAAATGGCTGATTCGTTCATCTGTCCATTTATTCATTAACTTATTCTTCATTAGCTAAATCTTACTGGACATGTACTCTCTCCCAGTTTGTGAAATTCTTGGTAACATGTATAAATATAACATACTTTGTCTGAACAGAATGCACTCTCTATCGGGAAAAATGGCAACATAAGATAAAAGATGAAGTATCTGTACATGGCTTAATTTGTCACTGGGGTTAATGCTAATAAATTAAGATAGCTTTTAAAAATCAGAAACAATATACTCTGATTACTCTTCAGATTGTATACATCTTTCACTTTTTAAAAATCGAAAGCAAAACAATAAGTTTGATAATAAACTCTGATAATAAATTCATAGCTCCTGTAGGAAGACAGTGCTATTAAATGAAACAAAGCAGAATATGTGCTTAATTTGCTTTAGTTGGCCTAGTTAATGACATATTAAAGATAGCTTAAAACTCTTAACATCCTTGTTCTTTGCTGAATAGCATTATTAAAAAAATTTCTTTATTTTGATTTTATTTTTTCCAGCTTTACTGAGGCACAAATAAAATAACATATATTTAATGTGCACAATGTGATTATATATAAATCAAACCAAATTGTGAAATTATTACCACAGTCAAATTAACACATCCATCATCTCACATCGTTACTGTGTGTAGGGGGAGCGGGGAGGGTCAGGACACTTAAGATCTAATCTCTAAGCAAATTTCAAGTATACAGTACAGTATTATTAACTATAGTCACCATAATCTACATTAGATCTCCAGAATGTATTCATCTTATGACAGAAAGTTTGTACAATTTGGCTGTCTCTCCACTTCCCACCCTCCAGCCCATGGCAACCACCATTCTATTCTCTGCTTCTATGGGTTCAGTTTTTTTATTTTTTTGATACACGGTCTCACTCTGTCACACAGGCTGGAGTGCAGTGGTGCGATCTTGGCTCACTGCAACCTCTGCCTCCCGGCTTCAAGCAACTCTCCTGCCTCAGCCTCCCCAGTAGCTGGGACTACAGGCACCCGCCACCACGCCCAGCTAATTTTTGTATTTTAGTAGAAACTAGTTCTCACCATGTTGGCCAGGCTGGTCTTGAACCCCTGACCTGAAATGATCCACCTGCCTTGGCCTCCCAAAGTGCTGGGATGACAGGCGTGAGCCACTGTTCCTATCCGAGTTCAATTTTTTTAGATTCCACATGTAAGTGTTATCATACATCTTTTGTCTTTCTGTGTGTGGTTTATTTCACTTAGCACAATATCCTCCAGTTCATCCATGTTATAACAAATGGCAGGATTTTCTTTTTATTGGCTGAATAATATTTCTCGCTGTGTGTGTGTGTGTGTGTGTGTATGAGATCACATTTTCTTTATCCATTCCTCCATCAATGGATGCTTAGGTTGTTTCTTCATCTTGGCTGTCATGAATAGTGCTGCAATGAACATGGGGGCATAGATACCTCTTCGGAATACTTACTTCATTTTTCTTGGATAAGTACCCAGTGGGATTATTGGGATCACATCACATCTCACACAGACTTCACAAAATATGAGAACATAGATTCCTCCTGCCTCCGTGGAAATCTTACCATTTGTAATATGTCATGTGTCACTCCAGCTTCTCAAGATCTACAAGACTCTTTTCTTTTCAAATTTATTGAAGTATAATTTATGTACAAAGAAATCTACACATTTTAAGTATATAGTTCAATGAATTTTTTTATATTTTCTTTTTATTGTATTTTTGTTAGACATCAAATATTGGATTTAATAAGCTATCGGAAAAAGTGTATAATTATAATCCTTTATACTGTAACAGTACTACACAACTTATAAAGCACATTAATATATTTTGTTTCATTAGAATTTTGGTCATCATAGAAACCCTAAAGCTTTGTTGACTATTAGCCTCTTGAAACAAAAGAAAAATAAGATATAAACATTATTGTTCCTATGTTAAAGATTAGGAAATTGAGTCTCAGAGAGATTAAGTAGTCTTGTCTAAATGCACGCACTAACAAATGGCAAATTTGAGTCTCAAAGACAGGTTTCTCAATATCAAATTGAAAGAATAGTTCAGTGAGTTTGACAAATGTATAATTGTGTAAATGCCACCACAATCAAGATTATAGGACATTTCTATTACTCCCCAAAGAACTTCCGTTTTGTAGTCAACTTTCCCCTTTTAGTCATAGCCTGAGGCAGCATTAATTTTCTCTAAATGTACTTGGTTTTTCCCACTTTTAGAATTTCAAATAATTGCAATCATGCAGTGTGTAATCTTTGGGTGTGGCTTGTTTCATTTAGCATGATGTTTTTGACATTTATTATGTTGCCACATGTATCAGTTACTTTTTCCTTTTTATTGCTTGTTAGAACTCCATTGTACGAATGTGCGACAATTTATCCATTTATCTGTGAAGGGCTTTGGGAGTATTTAAAATTTTTGGCTATTATGAATAATGCTGCTATGAAAATTTGTATACAAGTGTTTGTGTGGATGCATGTTTTCACTTAATTTGGGTAAATACCTTTTATTTGTACCTCTCCAGGAGGACCACATGCTTAGTGTATATTATCTTTATGAGATACTGCAAAAATGTTTTCAAGTGGCTGTTCTATTTTCACTTCAAACAGCAGTGTATGAGAGTTCCAAATGAACTCACATTCTTTCTAATACTTGGTATTGTCAGTTTTTATACTTTTCACCTCTCAAGTTAGGTTACCTGTGGCTATAATTTGCATTGAGGGGTGTTGACATTGACCATCCTCTTGTGTGCTTTTCATATGCTTCATATATGTTATTTTGTGTAGCTTCTGTTCAGATATTTTACTCACTTTAAAAATTGGGTCATTTGTCTTCTTATTGTTGAATTTGAAGTTCTTTGTATACTCTGAACTCAAGTCCTTGGTCAAACAAATCTTTTGCAAATAGAATACTGTCATATCTTTCAAAGAGAAAAATTTTAACTTTAATAAAATACAGTGTGTCATTTCCACAGAAAAAGCCTGGTGGCATTTTGATTGGGGATTGCATTGAATTTATAGACCAATTGGAGAAGAACTGGCAACTTGACAACATTGACTTTTCTGATCTGGGGACATGATATAGATCTCCATTTACTTACATCTTATTTTCTTTCAGAAGCATTTGAGGTTTTCATTGTATAGCTATTGTCCATATTTTGTTAAAGTCACCTCTATGTATTTCATGTTTTTAGATACCACTATAAATTGTATAGAAATATGACTGATTTTTTTCCATCGTCTGTTTTATTTTATTTTATTATTATTTAAGTTCTAGGGTACATGTGAACAACGTGCAGGTTTGTTACGTAGGTATACATGTGCCATGTTGGTTTGCTGCATCCATCAATTAATCATTTACATTAGGTATTTCTCCTAATGCTATCCCTCCCGCATCCCCCCCACCGCCCCCACAGGCCCTGGTGTATGATGTTTCCCCCCAGGTCCAACTGTTCTCATTGTTCAATGCCCACCTATGCGTGAGAACATGTGGTGTTTGGTTTTCTGTTCTTGTGATAGTTTGCTGAGAATGATGGCTTCCAGCTTCATCCATGTCCCTGCAAAGGACATGAACACATCCTTTTCGATGGCTGCATAGTACTCCATGTTGTATATGTGAATTTTCTAGGCCTTAACTCCAACTGAGCTTCCCATCTACAATGCTTTAATAGTTTGTGATCTACTCTAATTCACATTCCTCCCATACAAAGCACTCAAATTAACAGAAGCTCAACAGAGATCATTTAGTGTCTTTTATTCCTTTTGATTCCTCAGATGTGACTTTCAATGTGTTTTATTTATCTGAGTGTGTATTGTAGAGAAAAAAGTTGAGGGTTGCTTCCTTAGAAATACTTTGCTGTAATTAAATCATGTTATGCCAGCTGTATTTTCACAAGTTACTAACATCACACCTAAAAATGTTAACATTTGCTGGCACCCAGTAGATTGGCAGGGGCCAAAAACTCTCCTACAATTCTAGTTACCAAAACATGAAAAATATTGGAGCTTGGTACAATCTCCTACAGACCAGGATATCAGACATTTCCTGGATTTTGATAACTGATTGAATTCTGCTAGTCCCCACAGGTTGTAGGATCACTGGTCAAATTCCTCTCCAATAAGATAGAGAAGTTTAGACATATGATTATATGACTATTTAATCATATTTATCTTAAAAATAATATTTAATATATTTTAAAGTAAACTGGAATGATATATACCAAGCTCATGGTAGTTGTCTCTGGATTTAGTGTT
This sequence comes from Homo sapiens, assembly GCF_000001405.40. NCBI lineage: Eukaryota > Metazoa > Chordata > Mammalia > Primates > Hominidae > Homo > Homo sapiens. The sequence continues at coordinate 416,142 of NT_167249.2, forward strand.
GGGTCAGAGAGTGACAGTTGAAGGGGATATGAACTTTATCTGTGATACTTTATGTGCTAAAAATTCTGAAAATAAAAATGACAAAAGTTATGGTTGATGATTCTGAATGATGGGAACATAAGGGTTTATTTTTAATATTTTAAATATCTAAAATAAAGGATGAAGAAATAATATAGAATGACTTGTTAAAATATCACTTCAAATTAAAATTCACTATAATGGTAATAGCAGCTAACATGTATTGAATGATTATGCACTAGGCATCGAGGATAATGTTTACGTATTTTTCACATGGAGTTTTCACAACAATCAAGACTACTGAAGCCAAGACTGTTTTCAGTTGCTTCACATAAGTGGACAGGAAAATACCTGATCATGCTCTTAAAAGTACTGACTTTAAAATATAATTGTATTGTAAATGTGACTTGATTTTCATACCAAGACTTTGTCTGGTACACATGGAATATATCACCTAGACACAATGTAACAATTGAAAAATCTTCATTAGTTTATAAACTCACGATGTGCTTTTTTTTTTAAACATGGGATGTAGGCTAGCTATCACAGCTAATTTAGCTTTTTTATATATTTCTGCAAAGCTTTTAACAAGACATCAAAAGAAATTATTGATAACAATATTTTGGAAATATTAAATAATTTTGTTAAAAGTTTTCTGAGTTTGGTAGTGACCTTCTGAGTATAGTTTGAATGGTCTTCAAAGGTAATTTTTAACACTTTTGCAGGGCTGAACTTGGCCTTGAATTTTAGAGATGTTAGACACAATTAAAAATTCAAATTAATAAAACAAATATGTATAATGTAGTCATTATATTTCCTTTTAAAAAATGTTTCATGCCTTTTCCCATTCCCAAATTAGACTACCTAACAAGCTATATCTCAAATTTGGCCTCTAGCATACTGAAGAATTGGGGAAGAGGTTTCAGGTAACTCAAGATAACCCATTCCCTTCCCTGCAGATACAGCTCAAAGTATTTTTCTCTGCTATGGCTGGACTATAGATTCCTTGTCATCCTCGTACAACAATGTGGCATCATGCCAAGAACATCACTGAGAAACTGTTCTAACCAGGATAACTCCTTGAAGGGCATTAATTGCTACTTTGGGATTTACCCTCCCAGTGGCCCAAGTCAAGGAAAGCAAGTCACATTCTTTTGTTTCCAAAAAGGGCCCATTGACTCTAAGATAAAGACCCATCCCTTGATACACTGAAAGCTCTAATAAGTTTATCTTTTGGGTAAAACTAAATTTTTTTAGTAGACTCAGAGCTTTCTCTTCTGTAGCAATGATAGTCATAGCTACATTCAGACTGTTTTCCTAATTGATGTAGTAGATGAGGGAAGTGTAGGCATTTATGTTGGTGATTTCAAGGTGATCAAAATCAGAGATCAGATCAGTCTGTGCATGATGAGGGCATCAGCTAGGAAGACAATATACAGGGAATGTGGACAGATACAGGAAGGACAGAGTGAAAGGCATTGTTTGAGTACTGCTTAAGTACTAGGTAATATATAAAGAAATATTATGGTAAGAATAAAAAAACTTGGCCAGTGACATGGGGATGGGGAAAAGAGATTATTTTCTCCCTCCGTTATACCTGATTTCCAAAACTAGAGAGGATCACTTATTCCTAGTCCATGAAAGCAACTTTTAACTTTTAATTTTTGTGGGTACACAATAGGTGTATGCATTTATGGGGTACATGAGATTTTTTTTGATAATTTCTTTCTTTTTATTTTTTGTAGAGACATGGTCTCACTTCATTGCCCAGGCTAGTCTCGAACTTCTGGGCTCCAGAGATCCGCCCACCTTGGCCTCCCAAAGTGTCAGGATTACAGGTGTGAGCCACGGCACCCGACCCAGGTATTTTTGATACAGGCATACAATGTGTAATAATCACAGCAGGCTAAATGGGGTATCCATCACCTCAAGCATTTATCCTTTCTTTGTGTTAAGGATAACTTAAACTTTTGATATGGCTTTTGATAAGGCTTTTAACTTTTGATAAGGCTTTTATTTTCTGCTCCACCAGGAAGAAGAAAATTAACCCAGAAAAATTCCTACCTTTTCCTTGCTTGCATCTGGTAAGTTTTTGTTTGTTTGCTTCTTATCTCATATCTCATTCTAACCTCTCTATGTAAGATTGCTCAAAGATGGGTCATGCAATTGGCAAAGGTATCTCACAGCTAAATGTTGTTTTAGTTAATGTAATAAATTATCGAGGCAACTGTACAAGAAAGAAGAAAATTTTATCTGCATGAGAGAAGGTAACTATAACATTTGTGTTCATATTTCTCATGATGTATTATCTCCTATTCTAGAGAAATTTTTAAAAATCTCTTGGAAAATTTTCATCTTCCCTCAAGGGCTGTGACCTCTAAGTCAAGTAATCTTCATGATTTACTCTTTGACTATTGCTGCTTTTTGATTCAGCTATAGCTTTTAAAATTTTCTTTTAAAACAATGTGCAGACTGATTTTCCTGGATGGTTGTTTAAGTTGTTGAAAGTAATCTAGATTAGTGTAACAACTGGCTAATGATTATTTACATTACCAAGTCTGTTAAAAGGTCTGAGGTCAATCTTTTAATCTTGGGACCAAACTGAATGTTCCAAACTTTTCTGCTGAAACTCAACCAATTAGCTACTCCTGACATTTCTTTCAGGCATTGAATTTATAAAACATGAGCGATTAAGAGACCCCTAAAAGAGGCAATCACAGGTGGCCCCACAATGATTTCTTTCTTCCTGTGCCATAGCCAATTGGGAGGTATAAGAAAAATAACCGACTGTGGAAGGAATGAAATAGAGGGCATGTGGCAAAGCTGGAAGAGGCAAAGAATTCAGAGAAAATGGGGTATTTAAATGGTGGGTTGCTATGCCTGACACAATAACTATATAACAAAAATAAGTATCATTTTTTTCTATGAAAGATTGAAAACTCACTGGAGAAAAAGCATCACCTAGGAGTCATAACTATTTGTAAGATATATTTTATTTTTAACAAAAAAAGTAACATGAGATTCACTGGGCACAATGTATTAAATGATGAACAGCCACTTAATGATTCATTAAATATTCAGAACTCTCTAACTTGGAGAATAAATATGTACTAATTATAGCTCATGCTCAGAATTTATATACTATCTAAATTATTGTCCTGGAGAAAAATACATCATGTAGAAACCTTCTTCAGGCCCTGTGGTTCAGCTTCTTGAACCCTGTGATAGACACACCTGCAACTCTAAGAACTACACTCAGGTTCTCCTCCATTTTCCTGCCCCTCCCACTTTTCCTTCCTTCTCTGTTCTCTCACTGAATTTTTATCTTCCTTTCCTTTCTGTAAAGTTTGAATCTTTTCAAATTCAGTTGTAGTCACACATCCTTTAGAAAGCATTCTATCACTGTTCTCCCCAGATTTTTAGCTTAGTTCGTATCATGAATACCCATATATTGATGAGCAAGTGTCTGTGTCTTCTCTACTTGTATTCAATTTTTCAGTTTAGAAATACATTTTGAGTCCAAGTAAACAAATCACAAGATAAGATTCTTATCTAATTGAAGCTAAACATTTTTTCTTTAGGTGAACATTTTGAAATGACTAAATTCAATATTTTCCACATATCTTTTCATCCATATGTAAGATTATTGTGATTGCAATGATTACGTTTTCCACAATCACATTTAAGAAAATAACCTGAAAATGCTGAAAAGAAAACTAAAGTTCCTTATTTATTAACAAAGAAAGATTTTGTGTTTTATGGAAATTATCTTCCTTAGCTAGGTTAGGAATTTCCTTCAATTACCATTTACCTAGATGTCACCCTAAAATGAATGAGAACTTGATAGTTATTTTTCTATAATAAGGCAAACATCTAAATAAAATATAAAATTAAAAAATTATTTTGTATTTTTGTGACTTTTTATTATGGTAAAATTTCAAACTTAGAGAAGAGTTGCAAAAAAGTAGTACAAAAGACTAACATTTACCCTTTTACCAGATTGAGTATTAGTTTACATTTTCCCCCAAAGCTTTGTTATATCATCTATCAACTATCTATCTATTTATCTATCTATCTATCTATCTATCTATCTATCTATCTACCTATCTATCTCTTTTTCTGGGCTAGTTGAGAGTAAGTTGGAGATGACACGTTCCTTTATGCCAAATACTTTATTCAGTGTTTTTTGTCTAAGGAAAAGGATGTTACTTTACATAAGTCCAGCACAGTACCCAAATCAGCAAACTTAATATGGGCACAATATTATTATCTAATCCATAGTCCACACTGAGATTTCTTAAATTGTCTCAATAATTTTGTTAATAGCTAGTTTTTGAAAAAATCCAGGATTGTACACTGAGAAATCACATCTCACTAGTCTCTTTTCATCTGGACCAGTTCCTCACCCTTTGTTTTTCTACTTAAACTTGATACTTTTCTGAATTGTATAGGCAAGCTATTTCTCTCAATTTGAGTTTTTCTCATGTGTCTTCATTATTAGAATTAGTCTTCATTATTAGAATTTTTAACACAAATATCACTGAAGTGACAGCATGTCCTGTTCAGAGCATCATCACAGCAGGTTCATGATGTTGGTTTGTGCAAATACAGTTGATCTTAAGATCAATAAAATCACTGGTTATGGTGGTGTCTGACAGGTTTTTCTACTACAAACTTTACTGTTTTTCAGTTTGAAATTAACTAGAAAGTTGTGAGGAGATATTTTAGACTATTTTAGATATTTGTACATATTCTGTTCCCCATCAAATTTTTATCCACTAGTTTTTGCAATCATTTATGTTTTTCTTAACACCGTCACCCCTTCTATATTTGTTAATTAGGGATCTACTGTAAGGAATAGCTTTATCTTCACCATTCATTTATTTATTCTTTTACTTTTTATATCAGTATGAGCTTTATAATTCTTCTTTTGTTAAATTCATTACTACTAATGGTTAAATTGTCCTACAATTAAATGATGGCAAGCCCTTCAAACTGGCTTTTATTTTTTATTCATGTGTGCTGATATTTTTGGATCATTTGTTTACTCGTTTTTTGAGTTTACCTTTCTTTTTTTTCTCTCAGGTAATAGGAAATGAATGATGATGGAAAAGTCAATGCTAGCTCTGAGGGGTACTTTATTTTAGTTGGATTTTCTAATTGGCCTCATCTGGAAGTAGTTATCTTTGTGGTTGTCTTGATCTTCTACTTGATGACACTGATAGGAAACCTGTTCATCATCATCCTGTCATACCTGGACTCCCATCTGCACACACCAATGTACTTCTTCCTTTCAAACCTCTCATTTCTGGATCTCTGCTACACCACCAGCTCTATCCCTCAGTTGCTGGTCAATCTCTGGGGCCCGGAAAAGACCATCTCTTATGCTGGTTGCATGATTCAACTTTACTTTGTTCTCGCACTGGGAACCACAGAGTGTGTCCTACTGGTGGTGATGTCCTATGACCGTTATGCAGCTGTGTGTAGACCTTTGCATTACACTGTCCTCATGCACCCTCGTTTCTGCCACCTGCTGGCTGTGGCTTCTTGGGTAAGTGGTTTTACCAACTCAGCACTTCATTCCTCCTTCACCTTCTGGGTACCTCTGTGTGGACACCGCCAAGTAGATCACTTTTTCTGTGAAGTTCCAGCACTTCTGCGATTATCGTGTGTTGATACCCATGTCAATGAGCTGACCCTCATGATCACAAGCTCCATATTTGTTCTCATACCTCTCATCCTCATTCTCACTTCTTATGGTGCCATCGTCCGAGCTGTACTGAGGATGCAGTCAACCACTGGGCTTCAGAAAGTGTTTGGAACATGTGGAGCTCATCTTATGGCTGTATCTCTCTTTTTCATTCCGGCCATGTGCATATATCTCCAGCCACCATCAGGAAATTCTCAAGATCAAGGCAAGTTCATTGCCCTCTTTTATACTGTTGTCACACCTAGTCTTAACCCTCTAATCTACACCCTCAGAAACAAAGTTGTAAGAGGGGCAGTGAAGAGACTAATGGGGTGGGAATGAGCCTGTGTATGTGTCATATTAACAATATAACAGAGTCTCCCCTCACAATGATTCATCCTTCTATTTATTTATCAACCATTCTTTTATTCACTCACTCTGTTAGCACTTGCTGAGCATGTACTCTAACAAGGTCGTGGAGTTCCTGGTAACAGGTAGGAATAAAACACAGTCAGCCTAAATACCATTCACTTGTGGAGAAAACAGCTATGTAAAATCAAGATAAAACATCTATAGTGATGTTTTTCCATGGTACAAACCTAATGTATCCAAGACAGACATTTCTCGATTGAAAATAAGGCATGAAATTTGTTGTAAATCTTGATAAAAGCGAAGCTGTAAATCCTATGAAAAGATGATACTCTCAATTTAAAAATCTCTACAATATGTCTTTTAATTTCTTGCTTTTTGGGCAGAATACTTTTGTCTTCTATCTTTAGTTTAGTTAAATACACAGCAAAATACTTCAAATCCTTTTCTCCAACAATGCTTATTCTTTGTCGGATAGTAAATTTTGAGAGGAATTTTGGTCCATATTCTTTCATATCCAGTATCAATAGTAGAACAATAAGTTTTATGAATTGTAGTAAGAGAGGCTTTGAAACAGTATAGCAGAAGTCAGCATCTGAGATCCCTCTTTTTTGCAAGGCAGTGAGAAATATATAGGAAGTAAAAGGAGCTGGTAAAGCTGAGCTATGGAGCTTATAAACAAATGGTCATCATAGGCTAGGTATACTTAGGTGAGGTAAGTGCTTGGAGCAACTGCATTACCTAAGGAACTAAGGAAAACATTTGAGGCAAATAGAGAGGCTCTGAAAATGACTTGAAGCCAATGGGTGTATGAAAGAATTATGTGAAAATATATTGGAAAAATTTTATGATAGAAACTGTCATATGGAAAATGATAGCTTATTTTTATTTTAAAGCTTGATCTAATTTGAGTATTTATGGTTAATAAGTATATTATGTATGTCAATATATGTGTTTCAAATAAAGAAATCTATTTTATAGAAGTAATCATTTTGTTTTATATATTATTGTCAACCATCTTCATTTGAAATAATTGCGCTATACCTAGAGCAATTTAAACTGACAGTCATAGTCAAATGAAGCGGAAAAATGGCTAAAGGAGAATTCAGTATAAAGTAACGTACTTGCAATGCCTGAGTTTTCTCTATAACTCAAATGTCAGCTGTAGCTTTTGAGGCCTGTGAGATTTAGATATGATTGATTCACACACTATTTCCTAAATTATTATAAAAATAAAAACGCATCTCAGAACTTCCCTCCAATTTCTAGTGTGACTTGCAATTGCATTGATTCTGCTGACTTTATCTTCCTTCTGCATCTCTGACTCTTCCTTTATTTCTAACTAGGCATGAAAAATATGAGGCATGTGCCCTTGTCCTTAACCTTACCCAAGAAGTGAAGAACCAAGAATAATGTATGTAAAATGACTTTTAGCAAGAATTGGGACCACATACGGTAAAACATCACATAAAAACACATTTTTAAAAACTTAAAGAACATAACTTCGCCCTTTGAACTGTTTTCTACTATGGAAATCTTACGATTTGGAGCACTTACGGTAGCATCCTGGTTTCTCACCTACTCAAATATCCCCCCCCCCCCATCTTTATTAAGGATAAGTGAAAAAAATGTATTTATTTATAATATACAGCATAATGTTTTGACATATGCATAATTATGCAATTATTACTCAAGCTAATTAACAGATCATTAACTCACATACTTACCTGTTTTGTGGTGAGAACATTTAGGATCTATTATCTTAGCAGTTTTCAACTATGCAGTACAGTATTATTAGCTATAGTCACCATACCGTAGAATAGATCTCTTGAATTTGTTCCTTCCATCTGAAACTTTGTACCCTTTGACCAATATCTCCCCATTTTCCCTATTTCTCTCCACTGCTAACCCCTGACAAGCATCTTTCTGCTACTCTGTGCTTCTATGATTCATTTTATGTCGATTTCACATATGAGATCATGCAGTATTTGTTTTTCTGTGCCTGGCTTATTTTACTTAGCAAAATGTCTTCAGGTTTGCCATGTTGTTGAGAATATTAAGACTTCCTTCTTGTTTTCAGGCAGAATAGTATTCTATTATATATATACTACACTTTCTTTATTCACTCATTCATTGACAGACACTTAGATTGATTCAATACCTTGGCTATTATGAATTTGCTGTCATAAAGATGGGTGTATAGATAGCTTTTCAACATAGTGATTTAATTCTTTTGGATATATACCTAGAATATATACAAATGGATCATACGGTAGTTCTATTTTTATTCATTTATTTTTAATTTATATATTTATTTATTTATTTATTTTTTATTTATTTATTTATTTATTTTTATTATACTTTAAGTTTTAGGGTACATGTGCACATTGTGCAGGTTAGTTACATATGTATACATGTGCCATGCTGGTGCGCTGCACCCACTAACTCGTCATCTAGCATTAGGTATATCTCCCAATGCTATCCCTCCCCCCTCCCCCCACCCCACCACAGTCCCCAGAGTGTGATATTCCCCTTCCTGTGTCCATGTGATCTCATTGTTCAATTCCCACCTATGAGTGAGAATACACAGTGTTTGGTTTTTTGTTCTTGCGTTAGTTTACTGAGAATGATGATTTCCAATTTCATCCATGTCCCTACAAAGGACATGAACTCATCATTTTTTATGGCTGCATAGTATTCCATGGTGTATATGTGCCACATTTTCTTAATCCACTCTATCATTGTTGGACATTTGGGTTGGTTCCAAGTCTTTGCTATTGTGAATAATGCTGCAATAAACATACGTGTGCATGTGTCTTTATAGCAGCATGATTTATAGTCCTTTGGGTATATACCCAGTAATGGGATGGCTGGGTCAAATGGTATTTCTAGTTCTAGATCCCTGAGGAATCGCCACACTGACTTCCACAATGGTTGAACTAGTTTACAGTCCCACCAACAGTGTAAAAGTGTTCCTATTTCTCCACATCCTCTCCAGCACCTGTTGTTTCCTGACTTTTTAATGATTGCCATTCTAACTGGTATAAGATGGTATCTCATTGTGGTTTTGATTTGCATTTCTCTGATGGCCAGTGATGATGAGCATTTTATATATTTAATTTAACTTAATTTTTTGAGATGGAGTCTTGCTCTGTTTCCCAAGCTGGAGTGCAGTGGTGGGATCTCTGCTCACTGCAAACTTTGCCTCCCGGGTTCAAGCGATACTCCTGCCTCAGCCTTCTGAATAGCTGGGACTACAGGTGTGTGCCACTGCACCGAGGTAATTTTTGTATTTTTAGTAGATATGCGGTTTCACCATGTTGGCCAGGCTGGTCTCAAACTCCTGACCTCGGATGATCTGCCCACCTCGGCTTCCAAAGTGCTGGGATTACAGTTGTGAGCCACCCTGTTTGGCAATATTTTTAATTTATTTAGGAACCTTCACAGTGGTTTTCCTCATGGCTGTCCTAATTTACATTTCCAAAAACAGTGTATAAGGATTCCCTTTTCTGCATATTCTTCTCAACATCTGTTATCCTTTGTCTTTTTTCATAATAGACATTCTAACTGATGTAAGGTATGAGGTGATATCTACTGGTGCGGGCCTGGACTTTAGGTCCACTGGAGCCTAGAGCAGTGGGGACCATCCCCCTGAAGCCTGGAGCTGGTGTGGTGCTAGAGTGGAACTTACTGCCTTGGGGGCTGGTCTGGAGTCCGGGTTTATGGGGCCCAGCTTATATGTACTGGTCTGGAGGCTAGATCCTTGGGTACTGGCATGGGTCTTGGGGCTACAGAGTCTGACCTGGGGGGCCAACTGGCACTGGAAAGTCCTATTTTGCCATTTTATTGATACCACTTCTCACTATCTAAATTCTTTTTTTTTCTTTTTAACTTTCTGTGCTCTTTTCTCCTTTTTCTCTTACAAAACATATACATTTTCTTTTATATGTATAGACTTTTCATTTTCTTTTGGGAGGTTATAATTATAGTATATCTAATGTTGAATCCTAGCCATATTAGCCTGTGCTGTGTAATTTGTAATCTGAGAAATAGATCAGTTACCAAAAATTCCACCAAAGATTAACACTGGTATTACTGTTTTTATTGTTTTGTACTTTTCAAACCAGTCGAACAGACTTTATGCAGTATTATCACAGATAGGACAACAGGAATGAGTTTTCTCACTTTATCAAACTGAAGGGAAGAAAATAGGTGGCTTGTATAACTTCTGGCAACTTGTATGTGAAAAAATCAGGGTAAGGACAATACATTTTTAGCTCTGACAACCCATTCCTATGTCAACAACACTGAAGGCAAAATAGAAGCCCTGAGATGCTCCCCTTGTCAGCCCTAAACCTTATGAAAACATTTGTGAACTGGGATTTCCAAAGCACACATGAATTTGTATGGCAAGCAACTTTACTGAAGAACTAACAGTGAAGCCAGCTTTTTCCCAGATAGGAATGAAGGCTAACCTCATGGAAGCATCAGCTTCTTTTGCCCTGTAAATTTCTCCTCCCCATTCAGACAGATGTCTCCCAGTCTTTGTCCACTGTATCTTATACTTGTTGCTGTGCAGCATATTCTTATATACATACTCAATTATCTTTTCTTATTTTAACTCTGCAGTACAGAATTGTTGGCACAAATATGTCATCCAGGTAATCACAGAAAGTAGCTCTGGCTTCCAGCCTAGGTACACTCCGTCTGTATTCTGCTATGTAGCTCAGGTTCATATCTCCTATTTTACATATGTGAGGCTGGAAAGGTGATTAGTGATCATATATTATGAAAACACTACATGATTTCAAACATAAGTTTCAAATACAAGTGATTATATACCAAGTATCATCCAACAATCACAAAAAAACTCATGGAAAAGTTATAAAAATAGTAGAAAGACTTACCATTGAGCTTCACCAGATTTAAAAAATCTTAGCATTTCAACATGTATGGTTTATCATTCTCACTTTATACTAATGTTAATATGCATTTAAATTTTTTTTCTAAACTATTACGCTGTAATGCACATGTTCCCCTAGGTTGTCACAAGAATATTTCCTAAAAAAGTATCTAATCCAGGATCATAAGGTGGCAGTGTGATGTCTCTTTTTTCTCTTTAATTGGGAACCATTCCTCAGTCTGTCTGTCTCTTCAATGCACCTTATAGTTTTGAAGAGTGCAGGCCGGCCATTTACTTTAACAAAATAATTGTTTTTAACAAATAAGGGGGATTTATTGCTTATAAAACCAAAAAGTTCAGCAGTAGTGTGGGCTTCAGGTATAGCTTGATCAGTGCTCTGGATCAATATCTCTGCAGTTTCCTCAGCTATGTCCTCTTCCATGTATTGGATTTGTCATCAAGTTGATTCCCCTCACAATCACGAAACATTGTCAGCAATAATCAGGCCTATATGCTTCCTTGTTCACATTCAAGAGGTTGAATATCATCCTATAATCAATGAACAAAAATGGCTCTTTATACAGAGCTTCATACTGACGCATAAGTTGTCTGCACATTCCTGGCAACATGTTTGGGACAAGGGGCGAAAATGCAATGATTGGCTGAGATTAATTGGGGGCCACTTCTGAAGCCAGGTTTTCAGTGAAAGGGCCATATATGCAAAGCCATCTCTCAAATGCACAAAGAGCAGATAAATCAAAGAAGGAGGCAGACAAATCTAGCTTGTTGGTTTGGGGTGATTTACTAAAGGAATTTACAGACATATATGTTGTCTTGGGTGGCCACAACATAGTTAGATTTTGCACTGCAGTCCTCCAGATCTAGGGCTTATCTTTTGAGGAAAGTATACTTGCTCTGAAAGAAACATGTAGGTAGCTACAGGTGCCATGGACTATGCTTCCTACAACAGCGTCAAGGGTTGTTTTGGAGGAAACTTACAGTGAATACATGTTCCTACATAAAGAGTAATATATCAACTTAACATCTTATAGGGACTCAGGGTTATTCAGAAGTTACACGGCAGATTAGCATTTAAAATAAAGTCACTCTTGCTCCTGCACTGGGGGTGGGGTTAATTTCATCCAAAGCACATGCTACACAGTGTAGGTGAGATGGGATAACTATTGGGAGGCAACAGTAATATCATAGTCTCTATTGTCTGCATGAGAAAACTGACCACAACAGAGCTAGTAAGTGATGAAGCTTGGATTCAAATGTGGGCTTTCTAACTTCACAGTTTGTTCTTAATCACTAGGCAATTGTTCCTCCCTATAGACATCTGAACTCTTTAAAACAAGAAGGTGAGGATTCAGTATGTACATTTCTTGGCTCTTTGCAACTTGTCATGGGAAGGTCTTCATTTTCTCCTATTCTTTGTTTTAACACCTAATATTTGAACCACACTGAATTTATCTTACTCTCTTACTGTCCTGAGGATGTTCACAAGAACTTTTCCTTCAAGGTTAAAATGTGTCACTTATACCTCAACCAAACATTTCATATTTGCAGCAATTATGCTTATTCACATAAGGTTGTAAATTCCTCAAGGCTCAACCAATGGCTGAGAAGTGTTTTGGGCCACTGTACCTTTAACAGGCCATTGGTGCATGAAGAACATCAGCGACAATGTCATTCTCCTAGACCACTGGGCAGTATCTGCCATATGTAGGCCAGTCGTTATTTTTTATTACCATTATTACTAATTTTTACTATTATTACTATAGTGGTTTCCAAATAATGATTCTTAAAGTTCCATCATTCCTTCTAAACTTATTAGTTTGTGTGGTAGGCTAAATACTTCCTCTCCTTGTCGCAAATGATCACACCCTAACCTCTGGGACTTGTTATTATATGTTACTTTACATGGCAAAAGGATTTTTATAGATGTGATTAAATTCAGAACCTTGAGTTGGGATTATTATCCTGAATTAGCCAGGTGGGCTGACATAGTCATATGTGTTCATATAAGAGGGAGGCCAGAGGTCAGAGAGAAGATAGTCTGCTGCTGACTTTAAAGAAACAGGAATGGGCCATGAGCCAAGGAAAACAGGTTGCTTCTAGAAGCTGGAGTAGTTGAGAAAACAGATTCTCTCTGAAAGCCTACAGAAGAAATGCAGCCCTGTAGACCCAATTTAGTATTCCTATCTCCAGATACATGATATTTTTGTTATTTTAAACACCAAATTTGTAGTAATTTGTTATAGCAACAATGGAAAACTAATAGAGTTGGCATTCTATATGAAGGAATAGCTTTCCTTTTTCCTGTGTGTGTGTGTGTGTGTACGTGTGGGTATCAGGTATTATTTATCTATGTGTCTACCTATATATCATAATATGGTCTTATGCATTATTATTTCATTCTGTCATTATTTTGATGCTGAAATGGTCACTGTTTTGGCTAGAGAGGACCCCTTCCAGTTGGCTCATATATCTTTTTTATATGTCTCCATACTTCTTAAGGCCAAGATGGGCAGATCACAAGGTCAGGAGGTCCACACCATCCTGGCTAACACGGTGAAACCCCATCTCTATTAAAAATACAAAAAAATTAGCTGGGCGTGTTGGCGGGCGCCTGTAGTCCCAGCTACTCGGGAGGCTAAGGCAGGAGAATGGTGTGAACCCGGGAGGCGGAGCTTGGTGCCACTGCACTCCAGCCTGGGCAACAGAGCGAGACTCCGTCTCAAAAAAAAAAAAAAGAATTTCTTACTGTTGGCAAACTGAGACGATCTTAACATATCTGACACTTTTCTTTGGGAGGAATAGATAACTTTGTTTATCTTAGGTCAAATGACAAAAACTTTGAATAAAGTACTGGGGTTTCCTAATGAACAATTCACTAGAAATGCATGGAATAGATAACACCAAGGCATGGTAATATTGTTGACAAATATTTATTTAGTTATAACATCACATTTCTTTACCCACTCAGGAAATGGAAAGTTTTTGTATTGTGCTTGAGAGTGAGGCAATGGTGAAGAACAGTGACTGGCTATGGGTTTGGGGAGTCATTTGGCAGGAGTGTAAATCCTTGAAATTTGAAAATCTTTCAAATTATCTTGATTCTCCTCAACAAAATACTAGCAAACCAAATCGAACAGCACATAAAAACCTAATTTCTTAGCTTTTTGATGAAATAGCTGTTTCCTCACCTTTTCTATCGTCTAGAGGTAACCTACATTCCTTGGCTCATGGCCCATTCCTCTATATTTAAAGTCAGCAGTGGAGTATCTTCCCTTTGACTTCTGGCCTCCCTCTTATATGGACACGTGTGATTGTGTCAGCTCACTTGCCTAATCCAGGATAATATCCCCATCTCAAGATTCTGAATTTCATCACATCTATAAAGTCCTTTTGCCATGTAAAGTAACGTATAATCACAGGCTCCACAGATTAGGGTGTGATCATTTGCATCCCAGGGAAAAAGCCTACCATGATCCCTTGTGTCCCAGGGATAAAGCCCACGATGATCAAGTAGGCTTTATCCCTGATAGGAAAGGTTGGTTCAACATATGCAAATCAATACATGTGATTCATCACATAAACAGAAATGAAAACAAAAACCACATGATTATCTCAATACACGCAGAAAAGGCTTTCAATAAAATTCAACATCCCTTCATGTTAAAAACCCTCAATTAACTAGGCATTGAAGGAACATACTTCAAAACAATAAGAGCAATCTGTAAAAAACCCACAGCCAACATCATACTGAATGGGCAAAAGCTGGAAGCATTCCCCTTGAAAACTGGCACAAGACATGGATGCCCTCTCTCACCACTCCTATTCAACATAGTACTGGAAGTCCTGGCCAGAGCAATCAGGCAAGAGAAAGAAATGAAAGGCATCCAAATAGAAAGAGAAGAAGTTAAACTATTCTTGGTAGCAAAAGACATGATTCTGTATAAAGAAAACCCCATAATCTTGGTCCAAAAGCTCCTTGATCTGATAAACAACTTTAGATAAGTTTCAGGATATAAAATAAATGTACAAAAATTTAGCATTCCCATACATCAACAACATCTAAGCTGAGGCCTAAATCAGGAATGCAATCCCATTCACAACTGCCACAAAAAGAATAAAATACCTAGAAATACTGCTAACCTAAAAGGTAAAACATCTCTACAATGACAATTACAAAACACTGCTAAAAGAAATCAGAAGTGACACAAGGAAATGGAAAAAACATCCCATGCTGATGGATACTAAGAATCAGTATCATTACAATGACCATACCGTCCAAAGCAATTTATAGATTCAATGCAATTTGCTATCAAACTACCAATGACATTGTTCACAGCATTAGAAAAAAACTATTTTAGAATTTGTATGGAATTAAAAAAGAGCCCTAATAGCCAAGGCAATCCTAAGAAAAAAGAACAAAGTTAGAGGCATCACCTTACTCAAATGATACCAGAGGGCTACAGTATCCAGAACAGCATGATACCGGTACAAAAACAGATATATACACCAATGGAATAGAATAGAGAACCCAGAAATAATGCCACACATCTACAAATATCTGATCTTCAACAAAGCTGACAAAAACAAGCAATGGGGAAAGGACTCCCCATTTTATAAAGGGTGCTGAGATAAGTGACTAGCTCCATGCAGAAGATTGAGACTGGATGCCAAACTTGCACCACATACAAAAATCAACTCAAGATGAATTAAAGACTTAAATGTAAAAATGAAAACTGTTAATATAAAAACTCTGAAGATAACCTAGGAAATATCATTCTGGACATAGGACTTGGCCAAGATTTCATGCCGAAGATGCCAAAAGCAATTGCAACAAAAACAAAAATTGACAAATGAGGCCTATTTAAACTAAAGAACTTCTCACAGTAAAAGAAACTATCAACAGTGGAAACAGACAGTCTACAAAATGAGAGAAAATATCTGCATACAATGCATTTGACAAAGGTCTAATATCTGGCATCTAGAAAGAACTTAAACAAATTTATAAGAAAGAAACAATGCCGTTTAAAAGTCAGCAAAAGACATAAACAGACACTTTCCAAAAGAAGATACACATGCGGCCAAGCATATGAAAAAATGCTCAATATCATTAATCATTAGAGAAATGCAAATCAAAACCGCAATGAGATACCATCTCGTACCAGGTGGAATGGCTATTATCAAAAAGTCAAATTATTAATAACAGATACATCAAGGCTATGGAGAAAAGGGAATGCTTATACACTGCTGGTGGGAATGTAAATTACCTTAGCTATTGTGGAAAATGGTGTAATGATTCCTCCAAGAACTTAAAACAGAACTACTCTTCCACCAAGCAATCCCATTAGCGGGTATATACCCAAAGGAATATAAATCATTCTACCATAAAGACATATGCACGAGTATGTTCATTGCAGCACTGTTCACAACAGCAAATACATGAAATCAACCTAAATGCCCATCAACAGTAGATTGGGTAAAGAAAATGTGGTACATAGACCCCATGGAATACTATGCAGTCATAAAAAGAATGAGGTCATTTCCTTTGCAGCACCATGGATGGAGCTGCAGGCCATCATCCTAAGCAAACTAAATGGAAAAGAGCCAAATACCACATGTTCTCACTTATAAGTGGGAGCTAAACATAAGAACACATGGATACTAGAAGGTGAACCACATGCACTGGGGTCTACTTGACGGTGGAGGGTGGGAGGAGGAAGAAGATCAGAAAAAATACCTATTGAGTACTATGCTTATTACCTGGATGATGAAATTATCTGTACTCCAAACCCCTGTGATGCGCAGTTTACCTGTATAACAAACCTGCACATATACCCATGAACCTAAAATAAAAGTTAAAAAAACCTAAACCCCAAATTACCTTCAACCTTCATGAGTTTTTACATTTGAAAGTTAAATCGATAACTTAATGACAATAATTCAACTCTCTCATGCTTATCCCCCTCATCTAACCCAAAACAAAACAAGATTGGATACTGAGGTGAGGAACCTTTGAATTTTTAAATAGTATTAGGTCTAGCAGAACCTCAGAAAGACACGTTTACATTAAGAGGACTTTGACTATTGATATGGGCATGTAAGTTCTTTACTGCCACGTTCCTAGTAATTCCTGAATTGCACATGTATGAAATGACATTAATTCTCTCATACTTTAGGGTTGCTTGTCAGTGCCTAGAAGGAATACAGTCTCTGTGGCCAGTCTTCCTGGATCAACAAGAGCCTTGTAGTTTCCCATTTTTCATGTGCTAATAGTGAAAATGTTTAGAAAGCCCCATCTATCCTCCCACATTGGCATCCCACTGATGTGCTGTCCTGGTTGCTAGGTGCAGATTTAGGTTCCAAGCAGAACACTGCTAGTGTTCTCTGCAGTTTGTTGTAGAATCATAGTGTCTTGGCAACCAAAGGCAGATCTGGTGCTATGGAGGACCTGCTTACTGCTATGAGGTGTTACTTTATAGAGGTCCTGGAGAAGCTGATTGAGGCCACGTCAATGTTGCAAGGAGACATGAGACTCACATCAGAGTTCTATGGCTTAACATGGGGGATGGTGGTAAGTGCGGCTCTATTTGGATTTTGTAATTATAAAAGCCCACTTTATGTAGAGAGAAAAAAAAGAGTTTACCAGAGAAGTTTCTTCTGTAGTTGAAGACAAATGTAATGTTTTAATAAATTAGGCTGATTAAAAAAGAATATGAGTTTGGCGTGCTGGCTCATGCCTGTAATCCCAGAACTTTGGGAGGCAGAGGCGGGTGGATCACCTGAGGTCAGGAGTTTGAGACCAGCCTGGCCAACACGGTGAAACCCCATCTTTACTAAAAATACAAAAAATTAGCCGGGCTTGGGGGTGTGTTCCTGTAATCCCAGCTACTTGGGAGGTGAGGCAGGAGAATCGCTTGAACTTGGAGGCAGAAGTTGCAGTGAGCCGAGATAGTGCAATTGCACTCCAGCCTGGGCAACAAGAGCAAAACTTTGCCTCTTGAAAAAAAAAAAAAAGTGTATGAAAAGGTAAATTATTTTTCATGGAGTCCTGCCCTGAGAACAAGGCATCAAATCCTCTAAGTGTATAGGAAATTTGAGTTCAAAATAGATGCTTTGAAAAAAATAAAGAAAATGTTTTTGAAAAATGCAAATTTTAACAGATTTAGGGTATAGAAGTGCAGTTGTGTTCCATGGATATATTTACATAGTGAAGTCTGAGATTTCAGTGTATCCATCATCCAAATAGGATACATTGTCCTCAATAGGTAGTCTTTCATCCCTCAACCCTTTCCCAACTTCCCACCTTTTGGAGTCTCCAATGTCATTATTTCATTCTGTATCCACATGTACCCATTGTTTAGCTCCCACTTATAATTGATAATATCTAGCATTTGGCTTTCTGTTTTTGAGTTATTTCACTTAAGCCAATGGCCTCCAGTTCCATCCAAGTTGTTATAAAAGACATGACTTCAGTCTTTTTATGGGGAAGTAGTATCACATTTTAGAAATCCAATAGTCCATTGATGGACACTCAGGTTGATTCTATTACTTTGCTATTGTGAATAGTGCTGCGATATACATAGACATGCAGGTTTCTTTCTGATATAATGATTTACCTTTAGGTTGATATCCAATAATGGGATTGCTGGGTCAAATGGTAGTTCCATTTTTAGTTCTTTGAAAAGTCTCCATACTGTTTTCCACAGGGCTTGTACTAATTTACATTCCCACCAACAGTGTATGTATTCTTTTTTTCTCTATACCCTTGGCAAAATTTGTTTTTTTTTTTTTGTCTTGATTTTTTTAATCATGGCCATTTTGAATGGCATAAGGTAATATCTCATTGTGGTTTTAACTTGCAATTCTCTTATGATTAACATTTGTTCATATGTTTATTGGCCATTTATATGTGATCTTTGGAAAAAAAAAGAACATCTTAAAGTTCAGAATGGGGCCAGGTGCAGTGGCTCATGTTTGTAATCCCAGCACTTTGGGAGGCCGAGACAGGTGGATCACAAGGTCAGGAGTTCAAGACCATCCTGGCTAACACGGTGAAACCCCGTCTCTACTAAAAATAGAAAAAATTAGCCGGGCGTGGTGGGGGGTGCCTGTAGTCCCAGCTACTCGGCAGGCTGAGGCAGGAGAATCGCTTGAACCTGGGAGGCAGAGGTTGCAGTGAGCCGAGATTGCATCACTGCACTCCAGCCTGGGTGACAGAGCGAGACTCCGTCTAAGAAAACAAAACAAAACAAAACAAAACAAAAAACTTCAGAATGTATTACATTCATGGCTAGGTTTAGAATATGGGTTGAGTCACTGGAAGATGTGTTGAATGAAGTCTTTTAAATAGTGAGAACCTGATGCCAAAATGACCTTAAAACTATGTCAAAAGAGAAAAACCCCACTTAAGACAGCAATAAAATAGGGTTTGGATGAGCATTTCAATCTTGAGGAAAACCTAACCTGTTTGCAAAATAAGCCTAAGGATTGGATGACAAGTTTACCACTGGGCAAAAAGATATTTATATCCTTGGATTAAGTGCTAAATGATAAGAAATCAAACCAAATATTTGAGTGAACAATTGATGAATATTCACTACTATACTTGGAGAAGATAAAATGGATGTTGGGACTTAGAACTAGATCAAATCAGAATGAGTATCGATCAATGTTCAGTCAAAGGGGGTTGGAGGAAATTTGTTTATGCTTCTTAAAACGCTTTTTTTTTTCTTTTTTGAGACGGAGTCTTGCTCTGTTGCCCAGGATGGAGTGCAGTGGTGCCATCTCGACTACTGCAACCCCCATCTCCCGGTTTCAAGTGGTTCTCCTACCTCAGCATCCTGAGTAGCTGGGATTACAGGCATGCACCACCACTTCTGGCTAACTTTTGTATTTTTAGTAGAGACAGGGTTTCACCATGTTGCCAAGGCTGGTCTCGAATTCCTGACCTCAAGTAATCCTCCCAATTTGGCCTCCCAAAGTGCTGGGATTACAGGCATAAGCCACCGTGCCTGGCCTCTTAAAAGACTCTTCACGGACAGAGAAATAAAATATAAATTAGGTTATATGAAAAACATTGAATCGTGAAGCCTTTAAAAATCACACTGAACATATTCAGCATGAATTAAGCATTTTTCTAGCACGAAAATGTAGCTTGAAAGTAAGTAAGGTTCAGAACATTTAGCCAAATGTTTAAGTAATTTCTAAACTGTATTGAGAAAATGGAATAGTTTCATGGATTATATGTATTAGAAAAAGTTAATTAGAAAGTTTTCAAATACACATTAAGTGATAGATACAGAAAAAAAAAACAAAATTCTTAGAGAAAAAATGAAAAAACTGACCTGTTCTTATCAAAGACATGATTTCCCATATTTAAAAAAGCTTGTAATAATTGATTTACAATTAAGTTGACTGAAGAAAATCTCACTGATTTAAGAAAATCTATATGAAAGTCCAGATGCCAGTATTTTTTCCTATAAAAATCTTCATAGTCAATATTAAGGCTTTGTAAATTGAGATACAAAATTGAAGTATTATGAAAGTACTCATGTAACAAGATTGAAAATAAATTCTCACAAATTCCTTTGTCACTAAAACAAAAGCACTGAAAATTTATGCTAGCAAGAATGCAAAGTGAGGGAAACTCTCTTTGATTGCTGGAAGAAATGCAAAGTGGTGCAACTAATTTGACCATTTGGCAATTTTTATAAAGTTTAATATAGTCTTGCCATATGACTTAACAATCACATTCCTAAGTATTTACACCAGTGAATTAAATCTTATGTCCATGTAAAAATTTGCATGCAAGTATTTATATCAGTGTTATTCATAATTACTCAAAACTGTAAGCAACCCATGCCCTTCAATAGGGGAAAAATAATCTTGGGTATTTCCATACAATGATCTATGATTTTGTGGAAATTGATTGATGAATGAATACTATTGATCAAAGGGATGGAATGAGCTACTGATACATGCAACAACATGAATATTTGTTAAGTGTATTTCACTAAATGAATGAAGCCAGACTTCAAAGTCTGAATATTGTATGAGTTCATTCATAAGACATCTGGAAAAAGAAAACCTGTTGGGATGGAAACACACCAGTGTTATCCAGGGCTTAGTGTAGGGGAGATTAGTTGATTACAAAGAATACACGCAGGGGACATTTTAAATGATAGAGTTGTCTTGTATGGTGCTGCACTAGTAATATGCAAGTCTATGATTTATTAATCCCCAAGAAGTGTATCACAAAATTGCACTCAAATGCATGCAAATAAACAAGCAAAAGTTTCACCAAGATGCAGGAAGATCCTAGAATGGTATGCAGACAGTGACAAATCAATCTCACGTTATATAAATGTGTAAGCTAACGACCCTGAAAAGGGTAGAGAAGAAGTAAATACTGACTTTGGTTATTTTGAGAAATAATATTTTGATTAAAAAATGTCAGGCTAAAGAGAAAAGTAACTGTGCATAAGTACTGTATTCTAAATGGTAATTTTTTTCTCATGTGGGTACAGCTAATTTTGTAATTGCTTCACAAGCATACTAGTGTTGAACAAAAATGTTAAAAGATGAACAGTGGCATCCAGGTTTCTCACTGTTGGTATGAGAAGTTATAGGTAAACAAGAAAGGAAGGCCAGAATGATCATGAGGGACTGTGCTAGAGTCAGAGTTACACTGTGACATCATGTTTAAACACAAGCACGAATACACACGGACACACACATAGATGGACAAATATAGAAGCAATGACAGATATGTGTGTATTCAGGGCTTACTGTGTGAACACACATTACCTAGCCCTTTCTGCTGAAATAATCTAGAAACAAAGTTACCCTCACAGCAGTGTGTGCATGTCTGCCATGTCCAGTGAAAAGAACCAGAGATCCTTGGGGAAATGTCTGATTCTAAGATATTTCTAAGGCTGGTGAAAAAATATATAAGATAAGCCTGGAGGAGAAGGACCAGTAATACCAGAAATCAAGGAGGGGCCTTGAAGAGAAAAGGATAGCAAAAGGATGAAGACCTGTCCAAGACCCAGCAGCCAGCATGAAAGAGCTCTCAATGGGGAAAGCTGGAACAATTTCAACAACAAAATAAATAACATATCACTGGATTATAATCTGAAGTATAAAAAGTATGAGTCCATACTGTTAAATGATTGAATAAATACATAAATGGAGAAGAAGAGAGAAATCTTCCTTACTGATCTATTAATAGTCTCCACTTTTGGGGGTGGAGCTCGTGATCTCCTTCATTAAGTATAGGCTGGATTCAGTGACTGTCTTCCAAGGAATAGAGTATGGAAAGGTAACAATTGTAAGTTTAAGTTTTATTTAGTGCAAACACTACCTTAAGCAAGTGATTAAAGTCAGCACCATCAGTAATGCCATGTAGATATTATGTAACCCCTGCTCTGATGGGATAAAAAGGGCACTTTACCTCTGTGGTCACCTCTTCAAAAATTCAAAGGCCCAGTGTAATTGATGGCAGCTGTGGCCTGTGTGCAGTGGCTGCTGCCATGACGTTGGCTGCAGTGGGAGAGGTGCGGGTGGGGCTGTGCACTCGATGGAGCCCGAAGGAGCTGGGAACAGGCAAAAGCCCCCACCCCTTATGAGTTGGCAGGCAGGTGCCTTGTGCTCCCCAGGCTCAGTTGCAGCTGCCCAGCTGTGGCTGCAGACCCGGGTATCCCTGTGCTCTTGGGGTCCGGGAGCAGGCAGAAACCTCACCCTCCCGGGTGCAGCTGCAGCTGCTCAAGATGTGGCTACAAACCTGGGCATCCCTGTTCTCTTGGGTGCCAGGAGCCCTGCCCTTCTGGGTGCAGTTGCAGGTGCGCAAGCTGTGGCTGTGGATCTGGGCATCTCCACACTTTTGGGGACCCGGGAAAGAACCCTTGCCCCCGTGCAGACTCGGAGGTGCCTGCTCCTGCTGCCTGGCCTCTGCCTGCTCCTGGCACCAGCTCTGATCTCGGAGCGGAGTTGAGGCTGAGCCCTGGGGCTTTTGCAACCTGGCCTGGTGTGTGCATGCTTGGGGCATTGCTGACACACCAGCATCCTGCTGCCTGAGCCCCGCTCTGGACTTTGGGCACCAGTAAGCAAGGAAGGGAGGCTGGGGAGGTGCTGAAGGCAGCTTGGCCCTGGCCTGCAGGTGACCCTCGGCAGGAACAGCCTGGGTGCCATGAACAGTGGCAGGAGGCAGACAGGCTCCTGGACAGAGAGGGATGGGTCCCCAGTGAGGCCCCACCTTCAACCCAGGGAAGGCTTGAAGCCTGAGAGCCGGGCTGCCAGCCTCGCAGACTGGAGTGGGAATTTATGATGCTTTTTCTGGGCCTGCACATGGTTGCCCAAGGGCCAATCAGCACCTACTTCCTCTACTCTGAAGCCCATAAAAACTCCCGGACTCAGCCAGATTGAAAAAGATGACAAGACAACCAGCTGCAGAGAGGAGGTACCCACCCTAGGGTCTCCTCTCTGCTGAGAGCTGAAAAGGCAATGGTACGGCCAGCTGTGAAAGGAGCTATCCACCTCAGGGTCTCCTCTCTGCTGAGAGTTGAACACTGGTCAGGACACCCTGGCTGTGGAGAGGAGCTACCCTCTATGTGTCTCCTCTGAGCTGTTCTGTTGCTCAGAAAAGCTCCTTTTCACCTAACTCACCCTCCACTTTCTGCATATCTCATTCTTCCTGGGTGCAGGACAAGAACTTGGGACCCACCGAATGGCATGGCTGAAAGAGCAGTCACACAAACAGGGCTAAAACATACCCTTTCCTCACTCACCACATTGCAGGCGACAAAAAGGAGTGAAGAACTGCTGCCCTTCGGGGAGCCCAGACCTAAGAGCTCCCTGAGTCAGGGCTGTGACAGCCTCTTTGGCTCTGTGGTTCCTGGTGTCTCTTAGCTTCTGGGCACCACTGCATTCTGCAGCATCAGCCATGGAAGCTGCTTGCAGTACACCTGCTCCAGCTGCAGCCTTGCAGGGAGCTGGTGCCTGTGTTGGTGCCTGGAACTGCCTGCCCTGCCACAGCAAGCATGCCTGGCTGTGTGCAGTAGGTGGACCCCACACTTTCTCGCTCATACACGCCTCGCTGCTCTGCTTGCCCTTGGCAGGTATGGGATCCAGGCTGGTATTGTGAGCTGAGCACAGCCTGCTAGGCTGAGTGGGCCAGTGGGCCTGAGGAAAACTTGGGCATAGGTGCCACTAGGGACAGAGGTTTTCGCTGGTGAAGTGATACCCCAAGGATCCCATAACATAATCATGAGAAAACATCGGACAAACCATGATTGAAGTGCATTTTATAACATACCTGAGCAGTACTCAAAATTATCAATATCAAGAAAAACAAGGAAACAGATTCAGGAAACTGAAACATGACAACTAAATGCAATGGGGTGTTCTGGATTGAATTTTGCAACAAAAAAAGAACATTAAAGAAAATCCTGCTGAAATCCAAAGATAGTCTGGAGTTTCAGTGATAGTAACATACCAATGTTAGTTTCCTAATTTTGAAAAATAAACCAGAGAAATGTAACATTAAGGGAAAGTGAAACTGGGTAAGGGGTATTTGGGAATTCTCCATGCCATCTTTGCAACTTTTCTGTAAAGCTAAAATTATGTCAAAATAAAGCATGTATGAAAAATGTATTACACAGATGGGAAGGAACAAGATGTCCAACTAGATGCAGCCAGGAAGCACCGCTTTCACTGAGAGAGACCAAATTATCGAGTAAATCAACATAAATTGGACAGATCTTAGGAAAGAAAATGCTGAGCGTGAAGAGGCAAAGCTAAAGCTGAGGCTGTAGAGACAGAAAGCTGGGGACCCTGCTGTTGGGATGGCTTCTGGGAAATTGGCGAATGAGGGAACTGAGGGAATGCTCACTCTTGTCATGGACCTCTGGGATCCTAGCTACAAGAGACTGAATGCCCCCCATAAAGGTGTTAGCTGACAGGGGGATCTCCCTGGCGAAGGTTAACACCGCTTCCTCAACCCCTTCACACACAGACACTTACAGATCACGTAAATGGAAACTCTTCAGGGGATGAGGGAGAATGCAACTCTCTGAGTGTCTTGGTATCAGCAACAGCACAGGTTAGTAATAAGCCCTGAGGCAGGGAAAGTGATCTCATATCAGGAGTAATTGAATGTGAATCATGGGGAAAATTGAGAGATGTATTGGGATCAAGTGGTACTTCAGTTTTCCCCTTAGCCAAAATACATCCCAGAACTTTCTAAATCAACTAGTGCAATGAACTATACTGAATTTTTATTCATGACTTCATTACACTACTAAAAGATAAAGTCTCTACTCCGGCTTCTAGGTTAATAGTAGCAAAGTATAATATGCCTATTTAAAATGGTCCTATTACCTAAAAAAGTTGATCTCATGGAAGTAGAGAGTAGAAGAGTGGTTACTAGAGGAGCTGGATAGGGTAGGGTGAAGAGGGGAATGAGGAGAGTATGATCAATAGGTACAAAGTTAGAGTTAGCATGAATAAGTTGTAGTGTTTCACTGTACCATAGCGTGACTGTTGTTAACAATAATATACCGTATATTTCAAAATAGGTAGAAAAGAGGATTTTGAATGATCTCGTCACAAAGAATTGATAAATGTTCAAGGAGATGAATATGCTAATTACCCTAATTTGGTCTCTATACATTGTATATCTATATCAAAACATCATATCTCATAAGCATGTACAATTATATGTGAACTAAAAGGAAAATGGAACTAAATAAAGTAAAATAAAATGGTCCTGCAACATTTTAGCCAGAAAGAAAGGAAAACATATTTTAGGCAGAAGGACAGTGGAAAAGAGAAGACAATATTTGATGTTTAATTTTCACAGTTAATGCAAAACAAAAGCGATAGAACAAAAGTTTATGCCATTTTCACCAATAGAACCATTTTGGAATAGGATCATAAAAAATCAGGTTATAAATTACTGCTAATAATAGCTGACAATTGACTACAGCCAAATAATGAGTTCAAAAGCATTTTATCATGTTCCATTTTCAGATTTTTTAGATAGTAATTAAAACAATGAATAATTTAGTAGCAACTTTATGTTAAAGGCATAGTTAAATGCATAGATAGAACTATTCACAGGAGTTTCACAGACAATAGACCATGTGTCAGTCCTTTATTATAAATATTTTAAAAGGAATGCATCTCAAATTTTTTCCTTCAGCCATAAAATCTTTGTTTCAAGTGAGATGTTTGTTAAAGTACTTGGTATACCGACTGTCATTTAAAAATCTAAAGACATTTTTTTCAGATAGTTTTCTCAAATAGAAAAGACAACCTGGCCATTTCTTGCCAATTATGAATTTTAAAATACAGTCTTAATTATAATATGATATAATGTTCATACTAAGAATTGTGCTCATGCAAATTGAACGTATTAATCAGAAAATAATTTATGTTAACATATTCCTTAGTTCATATAGAAAAGCCACATAATACCTATATACTAACAAAGCTATTGATGTACATAGATGACCAGTCAAAATTACTTATTAATAGCCTTATAATGTGACTTGTCAGATGTGCCCATTTGCCTAAGAGTCACATAGTGAATTCAGATTCAGTCATTAGTTGGTACTCTTTCTAGCAAAATAGCTTCTATGGATTCAAGAAAGAAATGATTAGAGGATTTGCTGCACTTAAGAATTTGAGATCTGAGATAATGAATCCCCTGAGATAGAAGAAGATGATGTCCCCATGGTGCAGTTAACTCTACTGTTTGCTCAGTGGAAGGATATTGGAATCATAGCAAGGGGAGAAATTCCAGAAGCAAATTTTAAAGCAGTTTCTCTGCAAAAACATTTGAATCCTCTCTATTGCCCACTGAGCCCTGCCTCCTCACTATCCTAATGCAGACAGCATATCACATATCACATATATTAAAACAACCTTAAGTTGGACACTTATCAGTGTTTCTTATAAATACTATTATTTTACTTTGAAGAGTTTTTCTGGGGAAAGGGGATTACAGACTCTAAGACTTAGAAGTGTCTGCAGAAACTACTGTTGTCCACTTCCCAATATTAATTCTTGTTAAAATGTATATTATATATCATACTAAGTATGGTATGCATAAACCCTTTATCTTAATATAACATCATGTTAAATTGTTGGATATCTTTAATGTCTCCAAAAAAGAAATGCTAAAATTTCATTTAGATTTATCCTTTATAAATAAAATTTTTGATAACAATTAATTCTCTTTTTGCAAGTAATGTCTTTTTTTTTTTTTTTTTTTTTTGAGATGGGAGTCTCACTCTGTTGCCCAGGCTGGAGTGCAGTGGCACAATCTCCACTCACTTTAACCTGTGCCTCCCAGGTTGAAACCATTCTTGTGCCTTAGCCTCTCAAGTAGCTGGGACCACAGGCACATGCCAACACACCTGGCTAATTTTTATAATTTTAGTAGAGATGGGGTTTCACCATGTTGGCCAAGCTGGTCTTGAACTCCTGACCTCAGGTGGTCTGCTCATTTTGGCCTCCAAAAATTCTGGGATTATAGGCGTGGGCCACTGCTCCCGGCCAACTGATGTCTATTTCTTCTTGTAGATAATTAGTAACATCTTCCGCGGAATTTGACTTCAGTTTTTCTAGAGTCCTTTTAACTTCTGTTTCAAAAACTACTTTCCTTGATATTAAAGTCGTTGAAATAATCTACACCTTCTGCTCAATCCTGCAGACTTAAAACATCATCACCACTGTCTTTGGCTCATCTCTTTCCCAGAGGACACACATTTAACAAAATTTCCAAGTTAACCTCCTATGTTAATCTCTCACACTTCCCCCATCTTTTTCATTTTTACTTCTCTTATCCTACTAGAGAGCCTCATTATCTATTGCAAAGATTGTTGCAGTACATTTAACTAATTTCCTATGTTTTTGTACTCCAAGTGGTTTTTTACTTTGCTAAATGTAGTCATAAAATAAAGGTCTTACATTGTCTCAGGGTTTAAAATCCTTCAAGTTCTCATCTCCTATAGAAACACACATTCTTTAATATCAGCCTTGGTTCTGGTTCCTGGTTCTCATTCAACATAGATCCTCCTTTCAGTCTCCCATATTGCCCCATGGAATTTCAGATGGAAACATTGAATTCTTCATGATTTTGAATGTATAATTTTAAATTTCCATCATTTTTGCAAGTAGTTTGTTATAAGGTGGAAAAAGCATGAATTTTTGGTAATTGAAAGCTTTCAAATTCTAGTTCTGACGTACACTATGCAAGCTCAAGAATTAGTGAACCACATTTTCATTATCTATCAAATGTGGCTAATACATACCTTAAAGGGTTATTGAAAGATTAAATAAGACCATACATACAATATGTTTAACACTTTTACTAGCTCATGGCAGCTTTTCAATAGTTGTGAGTTCTCCTTTTTAACATGACTTTTTGATTATGATTATGATATTTCCTCAGCCAGTGATGTATTACTATATACTCCTATTAAATATTACAATTTTTATTTGCCTTTTGAAAATATTTTTAATTCTTCTTTGAGTACTTTAATTAGTCTTCTTTTTTCATTCCAAAGGCACATTCTTTTTTTTTTTTTTTTTGCTTCTGTGTCTATATTATTATTATTTTTATTATACTTTAAGTTCTAGGGTACACTTGCACAAAGTGCAGGTTTGTTACATAGGTATACATGTGCCATGTTGGTTTGTTGCACCCATTAACTCATCATTTACATTAGGTATTTCTCCTAGTGTTATCCCTCCCCCTGCCCCCCAACCCATGACAGGCACCCGTGTGTGATGTTCCTCGCCCTGTGTCCAAGTGTTTTCATTGTTCAATTCCCACCTATGAGTGAGAACATGTGGTGTTTGGTTTTCTGTCCTTGTGATAGTTTGCTCAGAATGATGGTTTCCAGCTTCATCTATGTCCCTGCAAAGGACATGAACTCATCCCAAAGGCACATTCTTGAAGGTGCATGTTAGCACTTCTTGCCTTGCAGTTATTATGCTATGCAGATCTTAGGACATCTCTAATATGGAGAAAGCCACTGTTAAACCTTCTTGAGTTCTACCTTAAATATTTTTCCAAATACATTTTTAGTGACTTTAAATCTAGGGTTAAAATGCTTTGTTTTCTTCCATTTGTTATTTAGGAAAGGCCTACTTGCTTGGGGAAATAAGAACTTTAGATCACTTTCCTTGAAAGGCAATCTCAGAATTGCTCATGCTTTACACAAAAGGTAGAGCACGCTTTCTCTTTCAAGTATAATGCGTCCCTTCTCTTCTACAGAATTTTTCAAAAGTTGACTGAAGTATCCTTCATGCTGTAGCATACTGAGCAGTATATATTCCCTGGAAATGCAAAGTCCAAATAAAACCTTTCTGTGGGTTTTCCAGTCCACTGTTCTGAGTATTCTTTATTCTGAGATTTTTGCATATAATTCTTAGGAAATCCTGATTTTTCACTGTGTCTAGATTTCACTCATGCCTCTGAAATGAATGTTTTTTACAGGACTTGAAGGTAGTATATACATTAGCCAAGGACGGAGGATAATTTGAGAGAGTCAGATGAACTGTAATGGGTTTTTATAGCAAAGCTTTTGACAAAAATCGTTCTGTGTTTTGCCTTCAAAACTAGAAATTACTATATACTTCTGTATATAAGACTAAGTTAGACAAACTATACCTTAACTAATAAAAATGATCAAAGCTATTGTCTAACACCACAGAATTAGGTCATGTGTTTGTGTGTGCATGTGTATAAAATTTGAAAACATTTTTCTGGCAATCAACCAGAAATATGCCAATTTTTAAAGTTACTTAAATTTTTTTCCAAACTAGATATATAAAAGTTCAATGATTTGAGGATCTGTATCAGCACCAGATGATCTGTTATTTTTCAGCAAGTGTATCTGGTTTGCAGTTGATTCTTGTTTGAACTAACATGAGGTTTTCCTTCCAATTATTGGCTTAGATCTTGATCATACCAGAAGTTATGCCAGAAAAGTCCAAATGACCTTTTGTTTTTCTTACAAGTATTTACTTCTTCACTACACAACACCGTGTTGAACTCTCAACATATTAATTCAACACCAAGTAAATATAAAATCTATTCATTTGCTCTCATAAATTGTAACTAATTTCGTGACAAAGTTTTAAGTTTTGGGGTGTGAGTCCTAGAACTAAGTTTTAGCACTTCCAACTTTTAATGATACAGGTTTTGTACATCATTTGCATTTAACATTTACATCAGTAAAAAGACATATTGTTTGTTGAGGTAATCAAGTTGCTTTTTGTTCCAGAAATGCAAATTATTTTTTTCTCATACTGATTCTGATTCTAACACAGTTAGTTCCAAAAGGCATTCCTGGCTGTTCCAAATTGTGCACGGAAATGCTTCCAGGTTGTGTTTCATTATTAATATCACTTCCTTGTTATCTCACTGATTCGAAGACTCATTATTATAGTATGTAAAAGGAAAGTATCAGAAACTTTTTCATACTTTTTGTCCCACTATTCCACTCATTTCAAAATTTAATAATAAATTATTTAATTAAAAATACAAAATCACTGCATACTTATTTGTTAAAAAAGAATTACACTGAATTTTTAAGAAGCAATAGTATCTACATAAATTGGGGTTGATAAGCTTATGAGACTCATGATTATTCCAAAGTATAATGTGCTTCACATTGAATGCCCAGTGTAGCCACACTGCCCATTTAGACTTGGGACAACATGCAGAGAGTGATGGAATGTTTCTCAGGTGACTCTGACAGGAGGCTCATTGATGAGTGGTTGCTATACTATTTTTACAATTAGCTTGAACTAATAAATTCATTTTACTAATTTTTTTACTACTTAACACAGTTACTATCTCTGTATGTACCAACCAGTATAGAACTATTTTAATATATTTCCATAATATAATGTGCCTACTAGCCAAGTATAATCCTTGCTGAACATGTTTACAAAGAGTCTCGGAGACATAACATATTTTGCAAGAACATGTAAAGCGATATTTGATTATGAGACAAGAATTTGTTAGATAAAACCATAGCAACCTACTCTAACTGTTCAATAACTTCATTTTATGTCTACCCACTATCACTTAAAGCTGAAAATGCTCCTCACCAAGTTGCGTAATGCCCCCTTTACATTCTTATTCCGCAGGGTGTAGATAAAAGGGTTGAGTGAGGGAGTCACCACTCCATAGAAGAGGGCCATGAACTTGGGTTGATCCCTTGAGATGGAGGAGGGGGGCTGAAGGTACATGCTGATGGCTGGGCCATAAAATAAGAAAACTACAATAAGATGGGAGGAGCATGTCCCAAAGGCCTTTTTCCTTCCCTTGGAAGATTTGATCTTAAATACAGCACTTCCAATACTAGCATAGGAAGCAAGAATTAAGCATAGTGGGACAGCTAACATAAAAATGCATACCACAGAGAGTGTGAGCTCGTTAGAACCCTTTTCACCACAGGCAATCTTTATCAGAACAGGAATCTCACACACCAAGTGGTCCAGTTTATTGAGACCACACAGTGGCAATTGTAATGTGGCAGTGGCCTCTGAGACAGCATAGATTATTCCAATTAGCCACACGGTGGAAACTAAGGATACAGACGCGCTGATTCATGATGAGGGTGTAGTGAAGAGGTCTGCAGATGGCCACATAGCGATCAAAGGACATAATAGCCAAAAGCAAACATTCTGTTCCCCCCATTATGTGAAAGAAATAAAGCTGAACCGCACACCCCATATAGCTGATGGTCTTCTTAGAGCTTCCCAGGTTAAACAGCATCTGAGGGACAATGCTTGTGGTATAACACATGTCCAAAAAGGAGAGGTTGGTGAGGAAGAAATACATGGGGCTATGAAGACGAGAGTCTAACCTGGACATGAGAATGATTGTGATGTTTCCCATCACGGCTATAGGGTACATTATAAGAAGACTAGTGAACAGAGGAAGCTCTAGCCAAGGGCGGTCTGCAAAGCCTAGCAGAATAAATTCTTCAGGGTGGCTTTCATTAGTTAGTGGCATTATCTTCAATTTGTTTCACCTGTAGTAGGGATATGCCAAAGAAGGTAGAGCTATGGGTATCGACAAAACATGGTGATGCATTGATTGTCTACTTATAGATGACAGGGTGCAGTAACCTGGGGTCAGAATAACATAAAACATCTGGTATCAGGTGATCTTATTTTCCTATGGGACACTACAAATTAAAGGCAGATATCTTAATCCAGTAACCCAACCATTCTGAAATGGAATTTCTTCTTCTGTGTAAGAAGGTTGACAATAACTACCATTCTTGAGTGAGGTGAGGATTAAATACAAAGTAAAAGTGACCGTATAGTTTTCAAACTTTGAGTTGCATAAAAATCAGCTGAGAAGGTTGCTAGAATGAAATTTATTGTTTCCTATCTTTAGGTGTCTGATAGAGTAAATGTGGCCTGGGGCTGAGGAACAGGATGGTTCATTTTCAGAAACAGTGCTGCAAGGCATTACTGAAATGCTAAGAAGAATAAACATATTGAGGTAGCAATGGTAGGAGAAAAAGGAGGAGAAAACCTGGAGTCATAAGAATCATCAAGATAGCATTGTCCAGCTCCAACTAGTTAGTTAAATAATCATATCATCTCCAAGGGAGGCAAGAAGACTTTTGGATTTAAATCTATCTCAGCGATTTGAAATTGAACAAGAAAATTAAATACTTTTATTGTCTGTTTTCTCAAGTATAAATTGAGAGAGTTAACCTACAATGACAAAGTTTCCCTATGCTCAGGAATTCGATTTTGCATTCTTGGGCTTTTATTCATTACGATTTAGTTCAACCTTTGGGCATTTGATATTTTATGTTAAATTTTAGCTAACATCCATTTTGAAAAAAATTTTTTTATTCAATGAGATTATCATCTTGCTTTAATATAAGAGTTTGGATAGTTGTCATGACCCACTGATTGCACATAACTACAAATATGTCTTTTAGTTCTGAGTGACTGCAGTCAGGACAAAAGTTGATGTCCCAATTTAGGCTTAGAGACAGTCAAATCTGAAATTATTTTACATTTTCAAGACCTTTCCTTTTTTTTCAGCTAGAAAGTACATTGATATACCAACCTCAACTAGTTTAGTGAAGCAGTATTTTGAGAAAGATTAATTTTTTGCTCATATGCTTTTCTTTTAGTGGTGACATGTGTTTTATGAATATCACAATTTTCTGCAGGATGAGAAATATTCGGTTGAAAAGTTAAGATAGCATCTCAGTGACAACATTCTGAGTAACTCTGCCAGTCAATTAGTTGTTTAATGGTAACAGATTACATTTATAAGTTTATAAAGCACAGCTTCCACATTCTCTGTTTCATTACATCTTCAAAGTCATCCTGTGAGGTGTCATACAAAGCTCCTCAGGGCTAACATGTGAATGTTGCCCTTTGATTATATGCTATCTCACGCCGGAAGTGTGCAAAACAATAATAACACTCTTTCCAACTAGTCCTTAGTGAACCCTCTGTGTCAAACACCCCCATATGCTTTCTACACCATTAAATCATTTAGTATCCATCCCCAAACGCTATGACAAAGAAAATTTTACTATCCATATTTTAAGATATTGTTAATCATTTGTTTCCATACTCTGCTAATGACTAAGAACATCCTAAAGATTGAAAAGTAATTGCTGCTTTAAATGAGGTAATAAAATATTGAGACTATAAACTCAGAGTTTCAAGAGCCCCAGAAAGCATCTGTACTCGAGGGTTGTTCCTGAATGAGTGTGACCCCCTTCACATTATTTGACCTTGATTTAATCAAGATGTTATATGAGTGCATCAAATTTAGAAATATGTCTTGGCCTGAGTGCTTTTTCAGATGAAAATCCGTATTGGAAATGAAAGATGAAATAAAGGCATGATATAAACTAATTTGATGTCAAAATAAATACAGTCATACATAGCTTAACAAGAGGAATATAGTCTGAGAAATGTATTGTTAAGTGATTTTGTCATTGTGTGAATATAATAGAGTGCACTTACACAAACTTAGATGGTATGGCCTAGTACACACTTATGCTATGTGATATAGCCTATTGCTCCTAGGCTACAAACTTGTGCAGCATGTTACCTTACTGAATACTGTGGACAATCATAATTCAATGGTAAGTATTTATGTATTAAGCGTATATAAAAATAGAAAAGGTACAATAAAATATGGTATAAAAGATAAAAAATGGTATACCTATATTGGGCACTTACCATAAATGGATCTTGCAGGACTTGAAGTTGCTCTGGGTGAGTCAGTGAGTGAATGGTGAGGGAATGTGAAGGCCTAGACCACTACTGTACACTACTATAGACTTTGTAAACACTGTCTATAGCCTACACTAAATTTACTAAAAAACACTTTTCTCTGTTTAATAATAAATTCATTTTAGCTAACTGTAACATTTTTACTTCATAAACTTCTTAATTTCTTTAACTTTTTGATTATTGAATAACACTTAAACCCATCATACAGCTGTACAAAAGTATGTTCTTTGTTTATATCCTTATTCTATAAATTATTTCTATTTTTTTAAGTTTTTTAACTTTTTTGTTAAAAATGAAGACACAAACACACACATTAGCCCAGGCCTACACAGGGTCAGGATCATCAATATCATTGTCTTCCAGCTCCTTGTCCCACTGGAAGGTTTTCAGGGGCAATAACATGCATGGAGCTGTCATCTCCTATGATTATAATAACAATATCTTCTTCTGGTATACTTGCTGAAAGACTTGTGTGAGGCTGTTTTACAGTTAACTTTTTAAAAATAAGTAGGAGTATAAAAAATCATAAAAAGTATAGTATAGCAAAAATATAAACCAGTAACATATTTATTTATCATCATCAAGTATTATGTACTGCACACAATTTTATGTGTTATTCTTTTATATGACTGGCAGTGCAGGTTTGATTATACCGTCATCACTGCAAACACTTGAGTAATGTGTTACATTATAACATTATCATGGATACAGTGTCACTAGGCAACAGGAATTTTTTAGCTCCATTGTAATCTTATGGGACCACTGTTGAACACATGCATGGTCAGTCATTGATGAAAATGTCATTATGTGGTGCATGCCTGTATTCTGAGAATTGCAAATTACATTATTAAATAATTTCACTATTAGATACCTGCTATCTTTATTTAACATTGTTATGTTCACCTTTTATATTTTTTCTACCAGGGACCATCCTTGAATTTTTTAAAAAGCAATTTTAGATTTGATCCTCCATGAATTCTTCCATAATTATAACTAATTATAACTACCTTTAATGACAATATTCACTCCAGTATGTCTTCCGCAATTTTATTAAATTTATATTATTTGGGATTTTGTTATTAACTTTATTAAGTATATTTTGTCTGTGAGTGGTGGTCACCCAGAGCTCCTCCATTTCTCTGGACATTTCCCTGAAGACATCAGACTAGGAATGACTAATCAATGTGATTTAATTTTGAAGTATATTTAAGCTCTGTAATTCTATTCTTAGATCTCATATTTTTTTCTCATGTCATTCTTGTATTTTATTTCTTTTAGCTTTGGGATTTTATCTGTCTTTTGGATCTTATACTTCAAGAAATGTTTCATCACTATTTTACTACATGGGGATTTACTTAATCACAAATGTTTAAAGCCACTTTATTAAAGTGCCAGACCCATGAGTTGAGTAAATTCCTCTCCTCATGGGGTCCCAAGATAAAGCAGGAATCCTTGGAATGTTAGAAAATGACATTCTTTACTTACCACAGGCCAGAAACCCTGTATAGGGACTGTGTAGGCAAGGTAGAAGGTCAGTTCCCCAAGGGGTTTTTATTGGCTCTATAAGTCAAGTTTCATTCCTTAAAGGAAAACACACCATTCCAGTCAAAGCCTTGGTAAAATAACCAATTTCTCCAACTGTGTCCGGCTACAAAAAAAAAAAAACAGATTCTTATTGCACTTATGCAAATAAATATATTGCCATCAGTTAAGAATACTCACAAATAGTCTCCAAATTCTGGAGAAATCAGGTAGAGAGAAACAAATATGGTCCATTTTTTTTTTTCCACAGAAGTATACTTTACTCAATTGCTAAAGGCTGTAAATAGCTCAAAGTAAAAGTTTTCTTAACTCTGGAAAACAAAACAAAGGGTTAGCAACGTTTTAAGCAAAGTCAAAAAGATTAGTTTATTCTTTTAGTTTAGTTTATGCAGTTAACTCCTGTTCTGTTTGATATTCATGAACATTCCTGTTCTTCACGAGAGTTGCAAAAGTTGTTTCCTCTATTCTAATGTCACAATTTCCAAAGTTATCAGAAACCTGCATTTAAGAACATCCGTTAGAGTTGTATAGCTGACTATAAACCACCTTTTGAAGAGGATTAAAACAAGACAATTGTCTGTGTATGACAAAACTCGTTACCACAGCCACTGGCAAAAACGTGATTGACAAAGAAATTTTGGTAATGTATAAAATAATTATTCTTGTTCCACTTTATACAAATAATCAGGCCAAGTGCAATAAAGTAAATCAGTCTTATCATAATTTGTCTTCAGTAAAAATGAGAAACTGAAGTGAGAAAAATTATGTTTCAAGAAGTATGGTACACTTGTTATTAAATTCTAGTCTCATGAGTTGTTTTTAAGTTTGTTTCTACAATTTAGGCTAAACCTGCTTATTCCTGTGAACCAACCAGTGATCTTAGACTGTTACTCAGAAGATACAAGAGGTTTGGGTAATGTAAAAATCTGGACCAATATTCTAATCATGGGCACATATTGGAATCATCTGGCAACCCTGTATCAGCTTGGTTTTAACAGTTGCTCAGTTCATGGGAAGCCTTTAAATTTAGTTTACCTGGAATAATTTTACTTATTTTGCTTTGCTGCTGTGGAATACATTGCATTTGTACTCTTTGCATACGGATGCAGAATATGCTTAGTGAATGTTTTCTTAAATGGAACACTTATCAATCTTTCAGATAGCACCTCTTGTTGAAACTCAGAGTTATGAATGGCTCTCATCATACCAATGCTTTTTGACGAGCTCCTCTCTACCCCAAATACGAGAGACTCTAATTGTTAGGCAGGAATATCATTGCTCCTCTTAAGCCTGAAGAAGCTACAGAAGGAGATGGATCTTTGTCCCTCTCCAACCCTTAGGATTAAGGGTTCTCTTGTAAAGGGGAGGGAGGAAATGTCAGAGGCATGTGAGCCAGAGCAGCTCCATCTTGAATAGCAGCTGGGTAAAATGAGGTTGAAACCTACTGGGCTGCATTCCCAGATGGTTAAGGCATTCTAAGTCACAGGATGAGACAGAAAGTCAGTACAAGATACAGGTCATAAAGACCTTGCTGATAAAACAGATTACTCTAAAGAAGATGGCCAAAACCCACCAAAAACAAGATGGCGATGAGAGTAACCACTGGTCATCCTCGCTGCTACACTCCCATCAGTGCCATGACAACGTCAGGAAGTTGCCCTATATGGTAGAGTACATTTGTTTACAAATGCCATGGTAACATCAGGAAGCTACCCTGTATGTTCTAGAAAGGGGAGGCATGAATAATCCACCCCTTGTTTAACATATCATCAAGAAATAACCATAAAAATGGGCAACCAGCAGCCCTTGGGGCTGCTCTGTCTATGGAGTAGCCAGCCATTCTTTTACTCCTTTACTTTCTGAATAAACTTGCTTTCACTTAAAAAAGATAAATAAAGTACCAGACCCTATTCCTGTTGATGTCTCCTGTTTTATCTCCACTTCCATCTTCATTCTAGTGTAGCTTATACTTCATTTTTACCATACACAATATTTTCTTTATATGTACTGCACTTGTAGACTTTCTATATAGTAAAAGATCATAAGAAGAAATAAAAGTTATTTTTATCTGACATTAGGAATCTGCATGAAACACACAGACAAATCAATCCATCCAATTTTGAACATATATTCTAAAAATCCACCTGATTGAAAGAAGGCTTCATATTTGTTTTGGGCATTTAATATTTCTCAGATATAGTGTATAAATCTCCCTCTCAGTCTCTCACTGAAACCAAATTTAAAATCATAATGATTTTAAATGGGTTTAATGTTTTTAAATTTGGTTTCAGTGAGAGATTGAGAGATAGATTAATTACAAAGAGAAATCTAGTTGCTTCTTAGAACCACTGAGCAGCTGTTTCCAAAGGTTAGAAAAGGCTCCCTGAAATGAAATGCTCTCTGCCTTTCAGATGTATATTAGGCAGTGGCAGTATGATCTACACATATTTCAATTTCCCTAAGAATGCATGGACTTGAAAACGTGCCTTTTTACTCACCTTTTGATAAATATCTTTCAATAAAAAGGAATTATGAAGGAATACACTTGAATTTTTCAAACGTTCAGAGGATGGATAAACTGTAGTATACATGAGTATTTAAGAATTAGCTTCACAACTTAGGTTTTCAATTGTTACAGGGTTCCAAAGAGAAGAAAACATGGGTTAGGAAGACAATAGTAGAAAATATCAGAATGCTTTGTGGATGTGTTATTTGTAAGCTCTTCCTGAGACCTCTTGGGCATTGTTTTCCAACAGGCCATTAATCCTTATCCCAGATGAGGAGTTAGCAGAGAAAATTCCTTGGGACAGAGATCTCTATGGAAATGCTACTTATGTACAATTAGTTTCCTACTGAACTGAGGTTGGTAGGAAGTCTCTTCTGTTGTCAGATGTGTTTTAAAATACATTTACTCAATTTCCCAAAACAGTAGACACTAATTTTAAATGAGATGCAATTAGAGATGAGCTAGTTTGAATAAATGATTCTGGGGAACTTAAATGAGAATTCCCTGAATACCTTACCTCATTAACTTCTAGACTACCTCACATAAAATTTAATCATTTCTAGTTGTAAGAATAAAGGGGCACAAAAATGAGTTGAAAAGGAAGAAAGATAATAAAAAGATATTTCCAATGAGAAGGAATCAAGTGATAGTTTAAAACATTTCATAATATTTAATGCTTTCATATTAAAATGATGAAATGATAATTTCTTCACTCTCACCAAGCACATACCACATAACATTAGGCAGATACACAGATAACTTTGAGATTTTAAAAATTACATACAAAATGCATAAATACATTATGTTGAAAAACAAATTCAAGTGCATGGGATAGCAAATACAAATTTAAAGGGTTTTTTTTTTAAGATGGAGTCTTGCTGTGTTGCCCAGTCTGGAGTGCAGTGGTATGATCTCAGCTCACTGCAACCTCTGCTGTACAGTTCAAGCGATTCTCCTGCCGCAGCCTCCCAAGTGGCTGGGATTACAGGCATTCCCTTTGATGACCTACTGTCATGGTCTGTTGTCCCTCTCCTTTCTTTAAAGGTAACCGTTAGTGTCATAAGGGTGTGCATCTTTCCACATTACATATGTGCTGGATATTTTCCACTCCCCCTTCCTTCCCCTGTCCCAGATTCACTCTCTATCCAACCATGTTTGTTTCTACCCTGTGTTGTGCCTCTAGAGGCGAAATCAAGAGAATTCCATGATATTTGACTTCTGGTTGTGTTCAGCCAATGAGTCACCAGCTGAGGATTAGAGTGAGGCAGCAGCTAGTTTGAAGTATTTTCCCCTACCCTCTCCTTCAGATGGGACAAATGAGGCTACTTGTATTGCTCAACCAAAGATCACAGGTCATGGATGTAGCCACGTACAGGTTCTCTCTCTTTCTGCTTTGTAATAGTACTTTCTCCCTTTGCTACTTCAGGCCTTGTGTTGGTTGCTAAGCCTCCCAACTGTTGCTAGATTCAGAGTAGTCCATATATAATACATATACAGAAATCCCTTGTTGATGTTCCTAAATCCTTCTCACAACTTTGTATTTACTTCTTTTGTTAAACCTCTTTCAGTTCCCATAGGAGCATGCCATCTATTTTCTGCTGGGACCATAGGTGACTGTAACTTTCCATTACAAACAAAGGTCATTTCCTGCTTTAGGACTTTTGAATTAGATGTTTTTAGGTCTAAAATGCTCTTTCTTTGATTTTATCATGACTAGCTCCTTTCTGTGTTTCAGGTTGATCTCAAATGTCACCTAAGAAGGAATATCTAATATGAATATACTACACAGTATCTCTATATCATATTCTCTTTTAATTTTCTGCAAAAGAATGAAAGCTTTCTTAGTTATTTTGCTTTTGAAGTCTCCCCCTCTAGTATGCATAGTTTTTGACAATAGCAACTTAAATAATACAATTAAATCATCTTGAACATATTGTTACTTGATTTTTACATACATATGTACACGCACACACACGCACACACACTTTTTGTCATTTCAGAGACAATGACTGATAAAGGAATTTTTTTCTTTTAAACACATCTCTAGCTTATCTACTTTTGCTGAATTCCATAAACTTTGGTATGTTGTGTTTCTATTTTCATTCTTTGCAAATTATTTGCTATTTTCCCTTGTGATTTCCTCTGAGCCAT
Organism: Homo sapiens; assembly: GCF_000001405.40. NCBI lineage: Eukaryota > Metazoa > Chordata > Mammalia > Primates > Hominidae > Homo > Homo sapiens. The sequence goes on from NT_167249.2 coordinate 456,645, forward strand.
TCATTATTTAGGAATGTGTTGTTTCATCGCCACTTACTTGTGTATTTCACAATATTTTGCCTGATATTGATTTCTAATTTTATTCCATTGTGGTTAGAGGACATCCTTTACATTATTTTAATCTTTTAAATGTATTGTGATTTGCTTTATGACCTTATAGACTAATCTGTAGAATGTTTCATGTGCCCTGAGTAATATATGTATTCTACTACTATTGGGTGGAGTTTTCTGTAGAGGTCAATTAGCTGTAGTTAGTTTATAATGCTGTTCACATCTTCTATTTCCTTGTGGACCTTTATCTAATTGTTCTATTGTTATTGAAAGTGGGATGCTGACATTGAACTATAATTATGGAATTATCTATTGCTCCAAACAGTTCTGTTAGTCTTTGTTTTATGTAGTTTGGAGATCTGCTGCAAGGTGCATATGTACTTATAATTGATGTATCTTCTTGATGGACCAGCGATTTTATCATCATAAATTGTCCTTCTTTGTTTCCAGTAATAATTCTTGTCTTTTTGTTGATATTGTGTAATATCAGTATAGCCATCCATTAGCACTCTATCTTGCTTACTCTTTGAATGGAATACTTTTTTCATCTTTTCAGTTTCAACCTATTTGCATTTTTGAATCTAAAGTGAATATATTGTTGACAGTATATCATTGGATTGTCTTTTTAAATAAACCTTGTGAATCTCTTCCATTTTTTAAATGAATAGACTATTTTTCAGAAGCTTTAGGTTTACAAAAAATTGAATGGAAGGTGTAGAGAACTCACATGTAACCCCTTTTACTCCCTCCCCCAGAGTTTCTTTTATTATTAACAACTTGCATTCATGTGGTACATTTGTTATAATTGATAAGCCAATATTAATACGTTATTAGTAACCAAATTCCATAGTTTACATTAGGGTTGATGGTGTGTGTTTTACATTCTATGGGTTTTGACAAATGTTTAATAACATGTATTCCCCCATTCAGTATCATAAAGAATGGTTTCACTGCCTTAAAAATTCCCTGTTCTCCTTCCATTCATCATTTCCTCCCCTCCTCCCCGGGAGCCCCTGACAACCACTGATTTTTTATTGTTTCCATAACTGTGCTTTTTCCAGAATATCATACAATTGAAATCATATATAATATAGACTTTTCTGACTGGCTTCTTTGACTTAGTAATATGCATTTAAATTTCTTCCAGGTCTGGGCTTTACAACTCATTTTTTATAATTGAATAATATTCCATTCTATGAATGTACCACAGTCTGCTTATTCATTCATTTATTAAAGGACTTTTTTTTTTTTTTGCTTCCAAGCTTTGGAAATTAGGAATAAAGCTACTGCAAACATTTGTGTACAGGTTCTGTGTGGACATAACGTTTCAGATTATTTGGGTTAATACCAGGACACGTGAGTGCTGGATTCTATGGTTAAGATGTTTAGTGTTGTATGAAACTGTCCAGTTGTCCTCTAGAGTGGTTGTACACTTTTGGATTTCTGTAATCAGTGAATGAGAGTTCCTGTTATTTATCTCTTTGTCAACATCTGATGTTTTCAGTGGTTTGCTATGGTTGATAATGTCTCAGATTTCTTTAGGCTGTTTTATTTTTCTTCATTCTTTTTTCTTTTTATTACTCTGACTAGATAATCTCAATTGACCTATCTTGTAGTTTGTTGATTCTTCCTTCTGCTTGTTAAAATCTGGTGTTCAGGTCTTCTGCTGCATTTTTTATTTCCATCACTGTACTTTTTCATCTCTAGAATTTGACTTGGTTCTTTAACAACAAATAATGTCTATCTCTTTAATAATTTTCTCTATTTAGTGAGAAATAGTTGTCATATCTTCCTTTAGTTCTTTAAACATGGTTTATTTCAGCTCTTTGACCCTATTTTTAAAGTAGCTGATGTAAGCCTTTGTCCAACAAGTTCAACACCTAGATTTGCTGCTATTGATTGCATTTCCCCCTCCTTTTATGACCCATACTTCCTGTGTCTTTCTTCACTTGTATTATAATTTTATGTTGAAAACTAGATACTTCATTTCATTTATTTTTATTTTTAAAACTTTTATCTTAAGTTCAAAGGTACATACGCAGGTCATGGGGGTTTGTTGTAGAGATTATTTCATCACCCAGGTATTAAGCATAGCATCCATTAGTTATTTTTCCTGATCCTCTCTGTCCTCCCATCCTCCACCCTCCACCAGGCCACAGTATGTATTGTTTCCCTCTATGTGTCCATATGTTTTCATCATTTAGCTCCCAGTTACAAGTGAGAACATGTGGTATTCAATTTTCTGTTACTGTGTTAGTTTGCTAAGGATAATGGCCTCCAACTCCATCTATGTTCCTGAAAGGGACATGATCTCATTCTTTTTTATGGCTGCATAGTATTCCACGGTGTGTATGTACCACATTTTCTTTATCGAGTCTATCATTGATGGGCATTTAGGTTGATTCCATGTCTTTGCTATTGTGAGTAGTGCTCCAATAAACATATGTATGCATGTGTTTTCACAATTGAACAACTTATATTCCTTTGGGTGCTTACCCAGTAATGAGATTGGTGGGTCAAATGGTATTACTGTCTTTAGAACTTTGAGGAATTGCCACAATGCCTTCCACAATGGTTGAACTAATTTACACTCCCACCAACAGTGTATACATGTTTGTTTTTCTCCATAACCTTCCCAGCATCTGTTCTTCTCTGACTTTTTAATAATAGCCATTCTGACTGGTGTGATAAGGTATCTCCTTGTGGTTTTGATTTGCATTTCTCTAATGATCAGTGATGTTGAGCTTTTTTCATATGATTGTTGGCTGCATGTATGTCTTCTTTTGAAAACTGTCGGCTCATGTTCTTTGCTCACTTTTTAATGGGGTTGTTTTTCTTTCTTATAAATTTGGAAAACTAAATATTTTAAATACTAGAAATGGCAACTGTGGAAACCAGATTCTCCCTGTCTCACTAGAATTTGTTGTTGCTGCTTATTAATGTAGTTGTTGCTGCTTATTAATGTAGTTGTTGCTTGCTTGTTTAGTGAATACTCCCAAATAATTCTCTAAAGTCTGCCTTCTTTGTGGTGTAGGGCCATTAAAATCTGTACTCAGGTAGTCTAGTGGCCAGCAAATAATTGGACAGAAATTTCTTTCAATGCCTGGGACTAATAAATCTTCCAGTTTCTGTCAAAGACCTCTATGTTCATATTGAGGCATGACTCTGACACCTAGTCAGGCAGTTCACATCTCTACCTTAGCCTCCACTTACTTCTTCCTGAAATACTGAAGGTCAGCCAGAGACAAGAGTTTAGAATCTTCTCAGTTCTTGCTTGAGCATTTATAGAGTCCTGAATCTGAACACAGCCATATGCATATACATGAAATTCCTGGCATATGGCAAAGATTTTCAAAATCCCTATAGACATCCCATTCCTTACATTTTTTAAGCTCTTTTATTGCTTTATGGTCTGCCCCAACTTTTATCAATTGCTTTAGTCAGAAGTGAAGTTAAAGCAGTCACTTGAAATTATTTTCAACAAATACCTGCTGAGAAAATGCTTTTTGCATTGGTCGAGGTCTGAGTCATGGTCAAATACAGACAGACTCATGAATGAAGTCTTCCAAAAAGCCCCAGCCAGGTAAATTAAAGACATATCTTTATAAGTTTATACATATATCTTTATAAAAGGTATATAAAATATTTCACTTTTCATTCTTTTTTGGTATTTTGGTATTTCAGGAGATTTGATTTTTTTTGTTTTGATGCTTATATTTACACATTAGTCCCTCTTTTAGGCATCATTGATTGGTTTTCTAAAATGAGCACTATATTTATTTATTTATTTAATTTTTCAATATATTATAGTTGTACATATTTTGGGGTAGATGTGTTTTCTTACACATATACAATGTGTAATGATTAAATCAGAGTGATTATAATATCTATCACCACAAACACTTTGTGTTGTGAAAATTACAATTTTTTTCTAGCTATTTTGAAATATACAATATATGTTATGCTAATATTAATAAATGTTAGTTGTATTTTCTCTACTGTATTATCAAATACTAAAAATTATTCCTTGTATCTAACTCTATTTTTGTACCCACTAACAAACTCTTTTTCATCTGTTTTTCCTTGCATCCATTTGCAGACTCTGATAAGCACCATTCTACCCTTGACCTTCATAAGATCCACTTTTTTTAGCTCCTGCATACCAGTGAGAACATGATATATTTGTATTTCTGTTCATGGTTTATTTCACTTAACATAATGACTTCCAATTTTATCCATGTTGCTACTAATGAAAGGATTTCATTATTTTTTATGGTTGAATGATATTCCATCATGTATATATATTACATTTTCTTTATCCATCCTTCTCTTGCTAGACACTGGTGTTGCATTCTTTGTGTGTTTCTATAGGTGAAGTGAGGTTCTTTTTTTTCTTTCCAATTTTTTTTTTTGCTTTTTTTTATTTTTAATTTTTTTTATTATACTTTAAGTTTTAGGGTACATGTGCACAACGTATTTCAGGTTCAAGTGGTACATGTGCAGGTTTGTTACATCAGTAAATTTTTTGTTATGGGGGTTTGGTGTACAGATAATTTTGTCACCCAGGGAATTAGCATTATACCCATTAAGTAGCTTTTCTTTTTTTTTAAACTTTAATTTTAGGTTCAGGGTACCTGTGCAGGTTTGTTATATAGGTAAATTGTGTGTCACATGGGTTTGGTGTACAGATTATTTTGTCACCCATGTAATAAGTGTGGTAACCAATGGGTTGGTTTTGATCCTCACCTCCCCCATCATAGGCCCCAGTTTCTATTGTTCTTTTCTTTGTGTCCTTATGTACTCAATATTTAACTCCCAATTATAAGTGAGAACATGCCATACTGGGGTTTCCATTCCTTCACCAATTTGCTTAGGATGATAGCTTCCAGCTCCATCCCTATTACTGCAAAGACCAAAGTCTCGTTTTTTATAGCTGCATAGTATTCTGTGGTATATATGTTTTCTGTATCCAGTCCACCACTGATGGACAACTAGGTTGATTCTGTGACTTTGATATTGTAAATAGTGCTGCACTGAAAATCTGCATGCATATTGCTTTATGGCAGAATGATTTATATTACTTTGGTTATACACCTAGTAATGGGATTGCTGGATCAAGTGGTAGTTCTATTTTAAGTTATTTGAGAAATCTCCAGACTTCTTTCTACAGTGGCTGAACTAGTTTTCATTTCCACCAGTGGTATATAAATGTTCCCTTTTCTCCACCACCTCACCAGCAAATGTTATTTCCTAACTTTTTAATAGTAGCCATTTTGACCGGTGTGGGACAATATCTCATTGTGGTTTTGATTTGCATTTCTCTGGTGATTAGTGATATTGAACTTTTTAATATACTTGTTAGATGTGTATATCTTCTTTTGAGAAGTGTCTGTTCATGCCATTTGCTCGTTTTAAAAATAGAGTTGTTTGTTTTTCACTTTTTTATTTGTTTAAGTTCCTTATAGATTCTGGATATTAGACCTTTGCCAGATGCATAGTTTGCAAATATTTTCTCCCATTCTGTAAGTTGTGTGTGTATTCCGTTGATAGTTTCTTTTGCTATGCAGAAGCTCTTTAGTTTAATTATATTCTATTTGTCAATTTTTGGTTTTGTTGTGATTGCTTTTGGAGTCCTCGTCTTGAAGTCTTCGTGAAAGTCGATGTCCAGAATGGTATTTCCTAGAATTTCTTCTATTGTTTTTATACATTTGGGTTGTACATTTAAGTCTTTAATCTATCTTGAGTTTATTTTTGTGTATGGTAAAAGGAACAGGTTCAATTCCAGTCTTCTACATATGGCTAGCCTGCTATGCCAGCACTATTTATTGAAGAGTTTCTGGCAGGCAGCAGGCAGCATATAATTTGGTCTTGTTTTTAATTCATTTAACCATTGTATGTCTTTTAAATAGAATGTAGTCTGTTTACATTCAATTTTATTTTTGATAGTTCATGCCTTAGTACTGCCATTTTGTTACTTGTTTTCTAATTTCGTAATTCCTCTCTTCCTTCCTTCCTTCCTTTCCTTCCTTCCTTCCTGCCTTCCTCTCTTTCTCTCTTTCCCCCTCTCCCTCCCCTTCCCCTTCCCCTTCCTTCCTTCCTTCCTTCTTTCCTTTTTTCCTTGTTATTTTCCTCTGGTAGTATGTTTTAATTTGTTGCTTTTTATTGTTAGTGTATCCATTATAAGTTTTTGCACTGTGGTGTCCATGAGGCTTACGAAAAGTATCCTATAATATAACATGTAGTATAAAACTGATAGCAACTTAACTTTGCTCTCATAAATAAAAACAAACTTCCAACTAAAAACTTATACACATTAACTCCATTCTTCACCCATATTTTGAATTTTGATGTTGCAATTTACATTTTTTATATTGCCTATCTCTTAAAAATTGTTGTAGTTATTATTTTAAATTGTTTTTAGTTTTCTTACTAAATAGGTAAGTGGTTTAAATATAATGACTTCATTTTTAGTATGACAATCACATTAACATTCTTTCAGTTTGGTGAACTTCCTTTAGCAGTTCTCATAGGACAGGTTTGGTAGTGATAGAATGAGCATTATTGAAATAGTTAATAACCTCTTCTTTCCTCCATTTCTCCAGCATCTATTTCAAAATGACAATTGATACAATATGTACTTTTTATTTATACAATATATACATACATACTTTTTACACAATTTATTTATACAATATATACATATTTATACTCTATATATATACAATTTATACAATATATACTTTTTAAAAGTTTGGAATGTTGTTATCCTCCTCTAGATAGAATTTATTTTTGCTTTTGGGAAGTAATTAAAGTAGGAAAACATCCCTAATTTTGAATGGGGTGGATAGAATTGGGACATACATTGCTGGTAGGAGCGTAAAATGACACAGACACTTTGGAACACTGTTTTGTGGTTTCTTTAAAAGTTACACATACCTTATGGCCCATTCATTCAACTCTTAAATATCTGTTCAAGAGAAGTAAAAACATTTGCTCAAATGAAGACCTGTGCTGAATATTTATAGCCACTTTTTTCAAAATACTGTGGCGAAAACCTAGAATTACTGTAAGTATCTGTCAACGGATGTAATGAATAAATTATACTATATCCTTATTATTGAACATTACTAGTAATGAAAACAAAACAATGTGCTGGCCTGCAACCATTTTAGATGAATTTCAAAATATTTTTGCTGAATGCAGAAAGCAAGACTCAAAATAATACACACTATGTAGATCTATCACTAAGAATTCAAGAACATGCAAACTTATCTATGAGGGCATAAATTAGAGTAGTAGTTGACTAAGTCTGAAATCAAAAGACAAAATAGATTTTGGAGAGTGATGGAAATGTTCTCTACCTTGATTGAGGTATTGGTATCATGGGTATATACAACTATAAAAATACTGACTTGCATACTTTAAATTATGTAGTTTATTTTGCATATGCTATCATCAGCAAAGGTGATTATATACTCTAGATTGCAGTCATTTTTAGGGCTGGCCTATATTCAGTCTATGGTTATTCATAGGTTGCAGCCATTCACCCATTCTAGCTGAAAGTCTTGGGTATTTATATGGGCCAAAATTTCCATTATTTGTCTCCCCAGAAATGTAAAATCATATAAGCCCTGTTTCTTAGCCTCTTAGTCACCAGATTCTGTTCTGATGTATAGCTGGTGCAAAAAACAAATATCTTTTTAAAAATATTTTTATTATACTTTAAGTTCTAAGGTACATGTGCACAATGTGCAGGTTTGTTACATAGGTATACATGTGCCATGTTGGTTTGCTGCACCCATCAACCTGTCATTTACATTAGGTATTTCTCCTAATGCTATCCCTCCCACAGCTCCCCACCCTCTAACAGGCCCCAGTGTGTGATGTTCCCCATCCTGTGTCCAAGTGTTCTTATTGTTCAATTCCCACCTATGAGTGAGAACATGTGGTCTTTGGTTTTCTATCCTCATGATAGTTTGCTGGGAATGATGGTTTCCAGCTTCATTCATGTCCCTGCAAAGGACATCAACTCACCCTTTTTTGTGGCTGCATAGTATTCCATGGTGTATATGTGCCACATTTTCTTAATCTAGCCTATCATTGATGGACATTCCAAGTCTTTTCTATCATGAATAGTGCTACAATACACATATGTGTCCATGTGTCTTTATAATAGCATGATTTATAATCCTTTGGGTATATACCCAGTAATGGGATCACTGGGTCAAATGGTATTTCTAGTTCTAGATCTTTGAGGAATCACCACACTGTCTTCCACAATGGTTGAACTAATTTACGTTCCCATCAACAGTGTAAAAGTGTTCCTATTTCTTCACATCCTCTCCAGCATCTGTCCTTTCCTGACTTTTCAATGATTGCCATTCTAACTGGTATGAGATGGTATCTCATTGTGGTTTTGATTTGCATTTCTCTGATGACCAGTGATGATGAGCATTTTTTATGTGTCTGTTGGCTGCATAAATGTCTTCTTTCAAGAAGTGTTTGTTCATATCCTTTGCCCACATTTTGATAGGGTTGTTTATTTTTTTCTTGTATATTTGTTTAAGTTCTTTGTAGATTCTGGATATTAGCCCTTTGTTAATTGGGTAGATTGCAAAAATTTTGTCCCATTCTGTACATTGCTTGTTCACTCTGATGGTAGTTTCTTTTGCTGTGCAGAAGCTCTTTAGTTTAATTAGATCCCATGCATCTATTTTGGCTTTTGTTGCCATTGCTTTTGGTGTTTTAGTCACGAAGTCTTTGCCCATGCCTGTGTCCTGAATGGTATTGCCTAGGTTTTCTTCTAGGGTTTTTATGGTTTTAGGTCTAACATTTAAGTCTTTAATCCATCTTGAATTAATTTTTGTATAGGGTGTAAGGAATGGATCCAGTTGCAGCTTTCTACATGGTGGCTAGCCAGTTTTCCCAGAAAATATTATAAACAACTCTATGGAAATAAACTAGAAAATCTAGAAGAAATTGATAAATTCCTGGACACATACACCCTCCCAAAACTAAACCAGGGAGAAGTTGAATCTCTGAATAGACCACTAACAGGTTATGAAATTGAGGCAATGATTAATAGCCTACCAACCAAAAAAAGTCCAGAACGAGATGGATTCACAGCCGAATTCTACCAGAGGTACAAGGAGGAGCTGGTACCATTCCTTCTGAAACTATTCCAATCAATAGAAAAAGAGAGAATCCTCCCTAACTCATTTTATGATGCCAGCATCATCCTGATACCAAAGCCTGTCAGAGACACAACAAAAAAAAAGAGAATTTGTATTTCTGTGGGATCAGTAGTGATATCTCCTTTATTATTTTTTAATAGATCTATTTGATTTTTCTCTTTTCTTCATTATTAGTCTTGCTAGCAGTCCATCAATTTTGTGGATCTTTTCAAAATCCACCTCCTGGATTAACTGATTCAGATTTTCTATTTTTTCATGATTCATTGTTGTTATGTTTCTAGAAATCTAACCATTTCTTCTAGGTCATCCTATTTGTTGGTGTAAAATTGTTCGCAGTATTCTTTTATGATCTTTTGTACTTCTGTAGTTTCAATTTTAATGTCTCCTCTTTCATTTCTTATTTTGTTAGAGTCTTCTTTTTTTTCTTAGTTGGTCTGCTAAAGTTTTGTCAATTGTTTTTATCTTTTCAAAAACTGAACTGTTAGTTTTGCAAATGTGTTCTTTTGTTTTCTAGTCTCTTACTTATTTCTGCTCTGATCTTTGTTATTTCCTTCCTTCTGCTAACTTTGGGATTAGTTTGCTCTTCTCTTTTTCTAGCTTCTTGAAATGTAACATTAGGTTGTTTGTTTGGGATCTTTCTTCTTTTTTAATATCGGCATTTATTACTATAAACTTTCCTCCTGCTAAGAACTTCTTTTGTTACATCCCATAAGTTGTGGTACGTTGCATTTTCATTTTCATCTGTCTTAAGATATTTTTTAATTTCCCTTTTGATTTCTTCATTAACCCTTTGTTTATTCAAGAGCGTGTTGGTTAATTTCCACGTATGTAATATTTTCAAATTTTATCGTATTATTTATTTCTATTCATTTCTACTTTCATACTTTTGTGGTCAGAAAAGATACTTGATATGATTTCAGTCTTCTTAAAACTGTTGAGTCTTATTTTGTTACCTTATTTGGATAATGTCCCATTTGCACTTGAGAAGAATGAATATTCTGTTGCTGTTGGATGGAATGTTCTATATATGTCTGTTAGGTCCACTTGGTCTAAAGTGTATGTCAAGTCCAGTGTTTCCTTATTGATTTTTGTCTAGATGATATATCCACTGTTGAAAGTAAAGTATTGAAATCCTCTGCTATTATTGTATTGCAGTCTATCTCTTTTCAGGTCTACTAATGCTTTCTTTATATGTATAGGTGATCTTATATTAGGTGCATATATATTTACAATTGTTAAGTCCTTTTCATGAATTGACCCTTTTATCATTACATAATGACCTTCTTTGTCTCTTTTAACAGTTTTGGACTTAAAGTTCATCTCATAAAAGTACAGCTACCCTTGTCTTTTGCTTTCCACTTGCATGAAATAATTTTTTCAATCAATGTGTGTTCTTCAAGTTAAAGTGAACCTCTTACAGGCAGCCTACGTCTGCATATAGTTTTTCATTTTCTTTCCAATGCAAAGCATTTTAGTAGGTTGTCAAATATACAATTATTAGAAATATCTAAATATTACCTGTAAAAACTAGTATATCACATTAGATAATTCTATAAAATAAGGAAACACAAATCACACATTGCCACAACCTCTGCAGTCCAATAATATCCCCCGTTGATAGTACAAATTACAAATACATTTTTAAAATAAAGACATGATTTCGACATTTAAACCAAAGTAACTATGGCTAACCTAAATACATTCATTCATCAAGTACAATAAATTAAGCATTGCTACTTATAGTCACTAATAACAAAATTTTAGGTTCAATTTTACCTAAAATTTCATAAATCTTCCAATACAGTTCCCATAGTAAAGTGTCTTTGTGTGTGCCATTTTAATTTATATGCGGGTGCATCATATATCAGACTTAAGACTATTTCACTTCATAATTAAATTGTTCATACATATATATTGAAAGTGAACACCCGGCCAAAATTTAATCCCAATGATGACAAAATGTAAAATTGTTTTAAATTCTTGAATGCATATACTGATTTGTTTAATTGCCTGCATACTACTTTTTTTAATTAGAGACTATCAAAGTAAGTAATAAGAATTTAAATATTAACTCAAAAAAAGATGAAGCCTTCAACCTTCCTACAATAGTAACAAGCATTTTAAATAACAATACAAGGAGTCTGTAAGCTAAAAAGTAACTTCATATTCATTGCAAAACTTAAAATACCAGTGAATTGAAGATAAGATTGAGGTCTAAAATATTTGTACTGTATTGTAAAATACAATTTAAAATGTGCAGTTAATTTGCTTGTGGACATGTAATGGAATGTTTTTCAACAGTAATGTTATGTTAAACACACTTTAAATGGTCACTCTAAGCAAACATAACCTTACTAGCAAGAAAAGCGAAAAATTAAGGCTTTCATGCTATCTATATCTACTACACAAAGTCAAAAGTCAAATAGAGCTTACAATGTGGCAAAATATTTCTAACTTCTGTGACATTAGTTGCTTCACCTCAACTCAATACTTATCATCTTATCTTTATACAAACTCAAATGCTAGTTATCTTTACTATCCATAAATACAAATTAAACTAAGGAGCTTCCGCACAGCAAAAGAAACTATAAATAGAATAAACAGACAACTTACGGAAGGTGAGAAAAGATTCACAAACTATGCACACAACAAAGGTCTAATATCCAGAATCTATAAGGAACTTAAATCAACAAACATAACCCCATTAAAAAATTAACAAATGACAAAGGATGAACAGACACTTCTCAAAAGAAGACATAAAGGTGACCAATAAACATATGGAAAAAATTGTTCATCATTACTAATCATCAGAGAAACGGAAATCAAAACCACAATGAGATTCCATCTCACACCAGTCAGAATGGCTGCTATTTAAAAGTCAAAAAACAACAGATATTGCGGAGGCTGCAGAGAAACGCGAACGCTTATACACTGTTGGTGAGAATGAACATTAGTTCAGCCACTGTGGAAAGCAGTTTGGAGAATTTTCCAAAAGAACTAAAAACAGAGCTACCATTGGACCCAGCAATTCCATTACCGCGTATTTAGTCAAAGGAAAATATATCATTATACCAAAAGGACACACGCACTCATGTTCATGGCAGCACTATTCACAATAGCAGAGACATAGAACCAACCTAGGTGCCCATCAGTGGTGGATTGGATAGAGACAATGTGGAGTTCCGGCAGAGACCCGGGTGAGACGCGCTGACCATGGGCCTGCGGAGGGGCTGGGGGTTCAGGACCTCCCGCAGCCTCTGCCCTGCAGGCTCCAGGTGCCCTCGCTGTGGCTCCCCTCGCGGGCCCAGGCCTGAAGAAGCCGCGAACCTCTCTTCCCTACCCCACCTCGGTGACAGATGGCAGCTCCTCTCTCAGCCCAGACCCCGCCAGCCTCCATGTCTCCCGGCCCAGCCCTGCGGGGCCTAAACTAAGCCCCTGCCGAGCTGCTAGGATGCAGCGCATTTGAGTGGCTGCGGGCGTGGGGGGCCGGGAAGCATGGCGACCGCCCCAACTCGCAGCGGAGGCCGTTAGGGTGTGGAGGGCGCGGGAAGGTGGGTCGCCTGCCACTGGGGCGCGGGCAGATCGGACCGCTCTGTCCCAACTGGTCGAGACCGACCTAGTCCTGACGACAGGAACAACGGCATTAACAACGGCCGGAAGGTGAGCGGTGTCCCAGACAACGACGGATAGCGGCCACCTGGCCACTGGTCTTCCTTCTCTACCAGACCTGTATGTGGGAAGAGAGAAGTGGTGGAACAACAGGCCACATTTGGCGCATTGGAGATGAAATTCTTGGTTGAAAATTCTTTTCTTTAAGAATGTTGAATATTGGCCCCCACTCTCTTCTGGCTTGTAGGGTTTCTGCAGAGAGATATGCTGTTAGTCTGATGGGCTTCCCTTTATAGGTAACCTGACCCTTCTCTCTGGCTGCCCTTAACTTTTTTTCCTTCATTTCAAGCTTGGAGAATCTGACAATTACGTTTCTTGGGGTTGCTTTTCTCGAGCAGTATCTTAGTGGTGTTCTCGTATTTCCTGAATTTGAATGTTGGCCTGTATTGCTACCTTGTGGAAGTTCTCCTGGATAATATCCTGAAGCTGTTTTCCAGCTTGGTTCCATTCTTCTCGTCACTTTCAGGTAAACCAATCAAACATAAGTTTGGTCTTTTCACATAGTCCCATATTTCCTGGAGGCTTTGTTTGTTCCTTTTCATTCTTTTTTCTCTAATCTTGTCTTCACACCTTATTTCAGTAAGTTGGTCTTCAGTCTCTAATATCCGTTCTTCTGCTTGATCGATTTGGCTATTGATCCTTGTGTATATCTTACAAAGTTCTCGTGCTGTGTTTTTCAGCTCCTCAGGTCATTTATGTTCTCCTCTAAACTGGCTAGTCTAGTTAGCAGTTTCTGTAACCTTTTATCAAGGTTCTTAGCTTCCTTGCATTGGGTTAGAACATGCTCCTTTAGCTCACAGGAGTTTGTTATTACACACCTTGTGAAGCCTACTTCTGTCATTCATCAATCTCCTTCTCCAGTTTTGTGCCCTTGCTGGAGAGGAGTTGAGATCATTTTGAGTAGAAGAGGCATTCTGGTTTTTGGAATTTTCAGCGTTTTTATGCTAGTTTTTCCTCATCTTTGTGGATTTATCTACCTTTGATCTTTGAGGCTGATGACTTTGGATGGGGTTTTTGTGTGACGGTCCTTTATGTTGATGTTGACGTTGTTTCTGTTTGTTAGTTTTCCTTATAACAGTCAGGCCCCTCTTCTGCGGGTCTGCTGCAGTTTGCTGGAAGTGTACTCCAGACCCTGTTTGCCTGGGTATCACCAGCAGAGGCTGTAGAACAGCAAAGATTGCTTCCTGCTCCTTCCTCTGGAAGCTTCGTCCCAGAAGGGCACTGGCCTGATGACAGCTGGAGCTCTCCTGTGTGAGGTTCTGTCAAGCCCTGTTGGGAGTTGTCTCCCAGTCAGGAGGCATGGGGGTTAGGGACCCACTTGAGGAGGGAGTGTGTCCCTTAAGAGAACTGGTGTGCTGTGCTGGGAGAATCCCTCTTGTCAGGATCAGCTGCTGTCTTCAGAGCAGGCAGGCAGGAACGATTAAATCTGCTTGTGCTGTGCCCACAGCCACCTCTTCCCCAGGTGCTCTGTCCCAGGGAGATGGGGGTTTTGTCTGTAAGCCTCTGACTGGGGCTGTTACCTTTCTTTCAGAGATGCCCTGCCCAGTGAGGGGGAATCTAGAGAAGCAGTCTGGCCACAGCTGCTTTGCTGCACTGTGATGAATTTGCCAGTCCATACCTCCGAGACTCCTTGGAACTGTCAGGGAAAATGGCCTACTAAAGCCTCAGTAATGGCAGACGTCCCTCATCCCATGAAGCTCAATTGTCCTAGGTTGACTTCAGACTGCTGTGCTGGCAGTGAGAATTTCAAGCCAGTGGTTCTTAGCTTGCTAGGTTCTGTGGGAGTGGGACCTGCTGAGCGAGACCACTTGGCTCCCTGGCTTCAGCCTCCTTTCCAGGGGAGTAAATGGTTCTGTCTCGCTGGGGTTCCAGGCATCACTAGGGTAGGAAAAATACTCCTTCATCTAGCTCTGTGTCTGCCCAAATGGCCACCCAGTTTTGTGCTTGAAACCTAAGGCCCTGGTGGTGTAGGCACACAAGGGAATCTCCTGATCTACAGATTGCAAAAACCATGGAAAAAGTGTAGTAACAAGCTAGGCAGCACTGTCCCTCATGGCTCCCCTGGCTCGGGGAAAGAGGTCCCCTGGCCTCTTGAACTTCCTGGGTAAGCAACTCCCCACCCTTCTTCTGCTTGCCCTCCATGGGTTTGACCTGCTGCCTAACCAGTCCTAATGAGAGGAACGGGGTACCTCAGTTGGAAATGCAGAAATCACCTGCCATCTGGATTGGTCTTGCTGGGAGCTGCAAACCAGAACTGCTCCTATTTGGCCGTCTTCGGCTTCATCCTTTTGTGTTTTTAAGAACAGTCTTCCCTATGAATTTTACCAAAAAGTGTACTCAGTACAGTAGTTTACTAACTCTACTTTTGTCATACACTAGAAACATCTTAATATCTACAAAGACTAGATGTTGAAAATTAGGACTAATTTGTCCACTTATATGCACTATATACACAGCACAGTAAAAGAAAATGCAGACATAAGGGACAATGGTAAAGTGTGCCTCACCATAAACACACTGGTATTTCAATTACCCTTTGCCCTTTCTGCTCCTCTTTCCTCCCTGAGCCAACACACATATAGTAATGTGTACTGCTCAGATAAGTGGTTTGATCCATTTCCCAAAGACAATATTTCATATGAATCAAAAGGATATCTACAAAGTGTTATTTACTCCCTCTACTTTTAACATACTTTGTGCACTTCTAGAAAGACTAGATGTTTCAAATAAGGACTTAAATTTGTCCACTATATACACAGGTAACAATGGTTATATCTGAAAGTGTCTTCTAAATAGGAACATTCTGGTCTAAAATCTTTCATTCCTTCTAACTCCTCTCTACCACCAACCTAGTGGATATAGGCATATGTGTCATTTAGAACTGATGTTATCATTTCACTTCCAAAAGTCCTTTTCAGAAGATAGCCTTTCTATGAATTTCAACAAAGTGTACAAAAATAGAGTTAGTAAACTAACTCTCATAAATTGTTATAAATTGGCAACCTCTTTAATATCTAGAGACTAGACTAGATATTATAAAATTAAGACTACTTCATCCAGTATACACACAATATATACAGTATAGCAAAGTTAAATGCAATGCATGTAACATATAGGTAATGGATTAAGCTGAAATTTTCTAGTAAACATTAGCAAAACACTTTTTATTTTTTATTTTTTATTATTATACTTTAAGTTTTAGGGTACATGTGCACATTGTGCAGGTTAGTTACATATGTATACATGTGCCACGCTGGTGCGCTGCACCCACTAACTCGCATCTAGCATTAGGTATATCTCCCAACGCTATCCCTCCCCCCTCCCCCCACCCCACAACAGTCCCCAGAGTGTGATATTCCCCTTCCTGTGTCCATGTGATCTCGTTGTTCAGTTCCCACCTATGAGTGAGAATATGCGGTGTTTGGCTTGGATGAAATTGGAAATCATCATTCTCAGTAAACTATCGCAAGAGCAAGACACTTTTTGCAATATCTTCCTTCCAATCTCCCTCAACCCAATGAACATGTACAGAGAGGACGCTGTTCACAGAGGTGGTTCAACAATGCCAGTTCCAAAAAGTATTTCTCATTACTTTTAAAAGATATTTACAGAAAGTGTTATTCTACTACTTCTATTTTTAAATACACCAAGCACTTCCAAATATCTAGAAAGATTAAATATTTCATATAACTTGTCCACCATGTACATGGCACTGTTAAATAAAATTGCACACACATAACAACAGTTATAATCTGAGGTATCTTCTAAACATGACCATTTTGGCCTTGAAGTAGTCCTTCCTTTCTTCTCTCTGCCTTTATTTCAGTAGACAAGTATAGGCATGTGTCATACTTTAGAAATGGTTGAACAAATTTAGATCCAAAAGTTATTTACAGAAGACAAGGTTTCCTATGAATTTCAACACAAAGCTTACAAAAAGTGCTAATTTTACTAAGTACTTTGTCATACACTGCCAGCCTCTTTAACATCTAGAGACTAGATGTTGCAAAATTAGGACTCATTTGTTCATTATATGCGCTATATACAGAGCAAAACACAATGCACAAAACATACAGAAAAATGGTGCCTGAAAATGTGCAAGTATGAGCACACTAGCATGTTACCTTTTGCAGTTTCATCCGTCCCAGCTCCTCTAAACTACTGAGCAAGTATAGACAGTACTATACCACTCACAAAGATGGCTTAATAATTCAATTTCCAAAACACAGTATTTCCTATGAATTTCAGCAAAAAGACATTTACAAAGTGAAATTTTGCTACCTCTACATTTAACATACATCAGGCCCTTCTAAACATCTAAATAGACTAGCGGTTTCAGGTAAGAAGTTAATCTGTCCACTATGTACACTGCAGCCTTGAATAAACTGCATACATGTAACAATAGTTATAATTTGAAGGAGTCTTCCAAATGTGAACATTCTGGCCTAAAAATCTTTCCATCTCCATCAACCCAGTGGGCAAGAATGCTCAAGTTTTCAGAAGACAATCTTCCCTAGGAATTTAAAAACAAAATGTACAAAAATATTAGTTTGCTAACTCTACTTTTGTAATTCACTGGCAACCTCCATAACATCTAGAAAGACTAGATGTAAATTAGGACTTGTTTTCCTCTATATACACTTTATACATAGATAAGTAAAAGAAAATGCACAAACATAAGATATAATGGTTAATCTTGCCTCACTGTAAGCACACTGGTGGCACAGAGCTCTCTGCACAGCCTCCTCCTCCTCCTCTCCTGAACTGGCGCATAATACAATGCATATTACTCAACTTGTGGTTTGGCCCTTCCCCCTAAAACAATGTTTCATTCGAATTTTAACAAAAAGATACTTACAAGATGTGTTATTTTACTACTTCTAGTTTAAACATATATCAGGCACCTCAGAACATCTAGAAACACTAGACATTTCAAAAAAGTGTAGCATTGTCAATGATCTATACAGTAGTAGGGAATAAAACGCACACAAAACAATGGAAAGAATATGAGAATGTCTTCTGAATATGACTAGTCTGGCACAGAACCTTCTTCTTTTCCTTCTCAGGTCTTCTTCTTCATGCCCTCTAACCCACTGAACAAATGTGGTTGTGTCTGTCGTTCCTGGTATGGCTTCCAGAAGTGGTCCAACAATTCCATTGCGAAAAGCCATTTCCAGAAGACATCTATTTTCTATCATTTCTTTTTGAACAAATGAGAATTTATAAGATGTGTGATTTTCTAACTTTATCATACATCACAACCTCTTTCCATCTAGAAGGGCTAAATGTGGCAAATGTTTTCTATTTAAAAGTTGGGGCGGGGGCAGTTGAGAACCGCTTTCTCACTTTACACACGCAGGGCCTTCTATAAACGGTGGTAATTAAATCTTCCCAAAGGGTAGTGGGCATCTCCAATACGCCAAATGTGGCCTGTTCCACCACTTCTCTCTTCCCACATCCAGGTCTGGTAGAGAAGGAAGACCAGTGGCCAGGTGGCCGCTATCCGTCGTTGTCTGGGACACTGCTCACCTTCCGGCCGTTGTTAATGCCGTTGTTCCTGTCGTCAGGACTAGGTCGGTCTCGACCAGCTGGGACAGAGCGGTCCGATCTGCCCGCGCCCCGGTGGCAGGCGACCCACCTTCCCGCGCCCTCCACACCCTAACGGCCTCCGCTGCGAGTTGGGGCGGTCGCCATGCTTCCCGGCCCCCCACGCCCGCAGCCACTCAAATGCGCTGCATCCTAGCAGCTCGGCAGGGGCTTAGTTTAGGCCCCGCAGGGCTGGGCCGGGAGACATGGAGGCCGGCGGGGTCTGGGCTGAGAGAGGAGCTGCCATCAGTCACGGAGGTGGGGTAGGGAAGAGAGGTTCGCGGCTTCTTCAGGCCTGGGCCCGCGAGGGGAGCCACAGCGAGGGCACCTGGAGCCTGCAGGGCAGAGGCTGCGGGAGGTCCTGAACCCCCAGCCCCTCCGCAGGCCCATGGTCAGCGCGTCCCACCCGGGTCTCTGCCGGAACTCCACATTGTCTCTATCCAATCCACCACTGATGGGCAGGCCTATGTCTCTGCTGTTGTGAATAGTGCTGCCATGAACATGAGTGCGTGTGTTCTTTTGGTATAATGATATATTTTCCTTTGACTAAATACGCAGGAATGGTATTGCTGGGTCCAATGGTAGCTCTGTTTTTAGTTCTTTTGGAAAATCTCCAAACTGCTTTCCACAGTGGCTGAACTAATGTTCATTCTCACCAACAGTGTATAAGCGTTCACGTTTCTCTGCAGCCTCCGCAATATCTGTTGTTTTTTGACTTTTAAATAGCAGCCATTCTGACTGGTGTTAGATGATATCTCATTGTGGTTTTGATTTGCATTTCTCTGATGATTAGTAATGATGAACAATTTTTTCATCTAGACAGAAATCAATAGGGAAACACTAGACTTGACATACACTTTGGACCAAATGGACCTAAAGACGTTATAGAACATTTCATCCAACAGCAACAGAATATTCATTCTTCTCAAGTGCAAATGAGACATTATCCAGGATCAAATATTAGGTAACAAAATAAGACTCAACAATTTTAAGAAGATTGAAATTATATCAAGTATCTTTTCTGACCACAAAATTATGAAAGTAGAAATGAATAGAAATAAATAATAGGGGAAAATTTGAAAATATTACAAATGTGGAAATTAACCAACATGCTCTTGAATAAACAATGGGTTAATGAAGAAATCAAAGGGAAGTTAAAAAATATCTTAAGACAGATGAAAATGAAAATGCAACGTACCACAACTTATGGGATGTAACAAAAGAAGTTCTTAGCAGGAGGAAAGTTTATAGTAATAAATGCCGATATTGAAAAAGAAGAAAGATCTCAAACAACCTAATGTTACATTTCAAGAAACTAGAAAAAGAGAAGAGCAAACTAATCCCAAAGTTAGCAGAAGGAAGGAAATAACAAAGATCAGAGCAGAAATAAGTAAGAGATTAGAAAACAAAAGAACACATTTGCAAAACTAACAGTTCAGTTTTTGAAAAGATAAAAACAATTGACAAAACTTTAGCAGACCAACTAAGAAAAAAAAGAAGACTCTAATAAAATAAGAAATGAAAGAGGAGACATTAAAATTGAAACTACGCAAGTACAAAAGATCATAAAAGAATACTACGAACAATTTTACACCAACAAATAGGATGACCTAGAAGAAATGGTTAGATTTCCAGAAACATAACAACAATGAATCATGAAAAAATAGAAAATCTGAACAGACTAATGAGTAAGGGGGTTGAATCAGTGATAAAAGTGTCCTAGCAAAGAAAAGCCCAGAACCTGATGGTTCATGGATTGGAGGAATTAATATTATTAAAATGTCTGTGCTGCTGAAAGTGGTATACAGATTCAATGCAATTCCTATAAAAGTTCTAATGACCTTTTTGTTTCACAGAAATAGAAAAAGCAATTCAAAAATTCATATGGAATGACAAAAATCTTAAGTAGCTAAAGCACTTTTGAGCAAAAAGACCAGAGCTGGAGGCATCACACTACCTGATTAAAGATATATTACAAAGTTATAGTATTCAAAACAGAAAGGTACTGGCATAACAACAGACACATGGACCAATGTAATGTGATAGAGAGCCCAGACATAAACTCATGCATTTGTGATTAATTGATTTTTGCCGAAGATGCCAAGAATAAACACACTATGGGGAAAGGACAGTTTCTTTAATAAATGATGCAGGGGAAATCAAATACCCACATACAGAAGAATGAAATTGAACCCTTATCTCACACCATGTGTAAAAAGCCCACTAAAAATGGTTTAAAGATTTAAATGCGAGACCTGAAAATGTAAAACTACTAGAAGAAAGCATAGGGAAAAATGTCCCTGAAATTAATCTTGGCAATACTTTCTTGGTGATGATCTCAAAAGCTCAGGAAACCAAAGCAGAAGTAGACAAATGGGATTACCTGAAACCAAAAGCTTCTCTACAACAAAGTAAATAACAGATTGAAGAGACAACCCATGGACTGGGAGAAAATATTTACAAACCATACATGGCTAATATCCAAAATATGTAAGAAATGCAAACAACTTAAATTTGTTAGCAAGAAAACAAATAACGCCATTTAAAACTGAGCAACGGACTTGAATGGACATCTTTCAAAAGACCAATAGATATATAAAAAAGTGTCTACATCACTAATCATCAGGGAAATGCAAATTAAAACAAAACAAAGAGATATCACCTCATACCTGTTAGAATGACTATTATCAATAAACTAAAAGGTAATAAGTACTGACAAGGATGTGGGGAATCCTTATATACTAATGGCAGGAATGTAAATTAATACAGGCATTATTGAAATCAGCATGGAGATTCCTCAAAAAACTAAAGATAGAATTACCATAGGATCTAGCAATTATATTTCTGGATACATAGCCAAAGAGATTGAAATTTGTATTTTAAAAATATGTTAGAGACCAGCCTGACCAATATGGTGAAACCCCATCTCTACTAAAAATACAAAAAAAATTAGCCGGGTGTGGTTTGCACCTGTAGTCCCAGCTATTCAGGTGGCTGAGACAGGAGAATTGCTTGAACCTGGGAGGCCAAGTTTGCAGTGAGCTGAGATTATGCCACTGCACTCCAGCCTGGGCTACAGAGCAAGACTCCATCTCAAAAAAAAAAAAAATGGGTAGATTTTCCTCTAATTTGGTTTTAACGTCTCTCTTTGAAGAGTGGCTAGAAACTCTAGCCTGGCTCTGATGGGCTCCAGTGGAGGTGGTTGTGGTTGTGGATGTTTTCGGTGTTCTTTTCATGGAATACTTCCTTATCCTGATGGAGAGCTAATGCCTAATTGTCCTATTTATGACCAGGTGTCCCTCTCACTGGAAACTTGTTTTCACTGGCAGACACCATTGTGGCTTTTGTCTGACTAGTGTGTCCAGTTCATTCCTACCAAGATTGCCACTCTCTAAGGGAGCCTTGTCCAGAAAAAAAAATTAATTTTAGGTGTGTCAGGTGAGACGCCAAGAAGACACATAAAAAAAAATAGTATAAGTAGTTTTATTACTTAAAGATTCCAGAGAGAAGAGGGCAACTTGCCTCACAGGCCTAATGGGAGAAAGGGCATCCCTTAGAGACATGCATGTGCAACCAGTGGGTGGGTAGCGAGAGAGAGTGAGTGACAGACCAGAAAGCCAAAGCCCTTATTGGAGTACACAGCATTATCCAAGCAGGGAGTAACTGATTGCTGGGTTTAGAGCAAGCAGGCATGATTTCTTGGGAGTTAAGTTGTATTGAGAGGTGTTCACTGCTGCAAATCTGCAGTCCATGTGGGGTGTGGGGATCAGTGGGATAAGTCAAGTAGGTTGTATCTAGGTGTCCCACACGGAGGTGGAAACCAAGAGGCCAAATATCTGGATTGACCACCTGAAGAAACTGGGAGAGGAGAACTCAAAATTGTGATAAGGGTGACTAAGTCCTGCTTCTGGCATGAGGAAGTTCAATTATATATTGAAAATGAACGCTGAGGTAACATAAACTCATAAGAATTCACTACAGATATCTGCACTACCATGTTCATTGTAGCATTTTTCACAATAGCTGAGGTATGAAAGGAACCTAAATGTCCATCAACGGATAAACAGATAAATATATAAAAGGGATATAATGTGATATATATGAACCACATTATCTATATAAAATGGAATACTATTCAGCCTTAAAGAAAAAAGGGAAATTCTGTCTTTACAACAACATTCATGAACCTGCAGGACATTATGCGAAGTGAAAGAAGCCAGACACAGAAGGACAAATACCACATGATCTCACTCTTATGTGGAATCTAAAAAAGATAAACTCATACAAGTGGAGAGTAGAATGATAGCTACCTGGGGGGCAGGGGATGGAGAAAGGGGGGATTTTAAACAAGTAGATTTAAATGTTCTCACTATAAGAAAAATAAGTATGTGAGGTGATGACTGTGTTAGCTGGACTTAATCATTCCATATTGCACATATACATATATCAAAAGATCACATTGTATCTAATCAATATATAAAATTATTTGTCAATTAAAATAATAAAAGATTGGAGTAATATTTAAGATTTTTTTAACATTTTGCAGGAAAAATCTTGGAATTGAATTTAAAAGACAACTGGGAAGGCATAAATAATATAGGTCAGTCTCAAAGAGCCCCTCATTAATAAGGAACAGATATGCAGTTTAGTCTTTATGTATTCTAGTTTTTCTGTTGAATGACTCTCAAATCTCTCCTTTTTTTCCAGTTGTCTTGTACATTTGAGCCTTAGCCCCACGGGAAACTGAAAAAAAAAATCGGACGGCTCAGTAAAACCTCTTCCTTTCATTGTAAATGTTACTCACAGCATCTTTTCCCATGTTTGTTGGTGACAAATTCACTGTCATCTCAGTAAGAGTATAACATCATGCTGAAGATATTTCTGTGAAGAGTTTTGTACTGAGAACATCATACCAGGACAACTCCTTGAAGGGCATTAATTGCAGCTTTGGGATTTATACTCCCAAAGGCTGCAGTCAATGAAAGAGTATCCCGTTATTCTTTTTGTTTCCATAAAGATTACATTTGCTCTGGGATAAAGGGTCCATCCCGTGATACCTTGAATGCCCTAAAGTATTCCCACATTCTGCTAAAAAGCAGATCTTTTGGACAAACTCAGGCTCTCTTTTCTGTAGCAATGACAATCACAGTTATTTCCAGACTCTGTTCTTCATAGTTAGATTTAAAACATTGGCAAAAATGTTATAAGAAGGCAATTAGGTTGATGTTTTTAGGTTGTATGGCAACCAGAGAGCCCCTTCATCAGTTTATACCTGATGAGGTTGTAGGCCAGGTAGAGAGTGACAGGGAACAGGGACAAACACAGGAAGGTCAGTACTGAAAGAAGTTGGTGCACTTCTTAAGGGGTAGACAGCTTCCATATTTCAAAATTGCAGAAAGTGTAGATTTTAAATGTTCTTACTACAAAAATATGATGGTTGTGGGGTGATGGATATGTTAACTAGCTTAATATAATCATTCTATAATGTATATATACATCAAAACATTACAGTGTACTCCATAAATATATACAATTATTACTAGTCAATGAAAAATTAAGAAAACAAACCAGATATAGTATAAAGGAATGGATGTGACACAAATTGGCATAATGTCTCTTAATAATAATTGGGGAAGGAAGAGACACTCAGCCATCCATTTTCCCTATAGTATTTGATTTAAAAAAAGAGAGAAGATATTTTATTCTACAACTCATAAAAGCTACATTTGATAGGGTCTTCATTTCCCTCTTTTCCACCAAGAAGAAAATTGAAGCTGAGACTTTTCTCTACATGAGTTCTGGGGGTTTTTTTGTCCCTTATTTCCTATCCCTTTTATCAACTCCGGAGGAATGCTGAAAGATGGGTCATATAACAGATAGTTATCAGATTCCACCTTTTAATTACTGTAATAAGGAACTCAGGCAGCTGCATTAGGAAAGAAAATTAGGTCGGCATCAGCAAAAGTATCCACAGCATTTGAGTTCAAGTATCTTATGGCATATTACCTTTCATCTTAGGGAGATTTAAAAAAATCCTTGGAATTTTCCCATGATTTCTCAAAAGGTTAATGCTCATTCCATTACCAACAATATGGAAAAATGTACAGTATCTTTGTACCAGTCTGGAGCATTTGCACAGATTTGGCCCAAGTTCAATGTTCCTAGCTCTCCAGCTGTAACTCAACCAGTTAGGCAACTCCTTACATCTTTTTCAAGAGTCAAGATTACAATATTTGAGTTATTAAAAGTTTTTCAAAACACTGAAGGTGAGTCGGGTGTAGATATTAGTTTTTTGAGACAGAGTCTTGCTCTGTCACCCAGGCTGGAGGGCAATGGCATGATCTCAGCTCACTGCAACCTCCGCCTCCTGGGTTCAAGCGATTCTCCTGCCTCAGCCTCCAGAGTAGCTGGTATTACAGGTGCCCACTACCATGCCTGCCTGGCTAATTTTTGTATTTTTTAGTAGAGATGGTGTTTCACCACGTTGGTCAGGCTGGTCTCGAACTCCTGACCTCAGGTGTTCCACCTGCCTCGGCCTCCCAAAATGCTGAGATTACAGGCATGAGCCACCACGCCTGGCCTCTTTTGCCAAATTTATCAGAGAGTATAAGAGGAAGAGTTGGCTGTGGCAGGAGGGGAGCAGAAGGGGGATGGCAAAACTATTTAGGAATATTGAAATGCTGGGTTCCTGTATTTTATTGCAAAAACTATATCATAAAAGAGTGTTTATCTTTCTCATGCAAGATTGGTAATGTGCAAGAGAAAATAAGCAACTGAAAATCAAGCTATCAAAGCATATTTGAATTTCTTCATTTTAAAAAAATAACTACAAGGTGAATTTTCTGGATTTTATACAATGTTCACGTATCTTTCTACTAATATTAGTTAATGTCTGTTCAGAAGCTCCATTAAAAATTGTGGAAAACCCAGAAAATACAAATTATAAATTGTGACTCAGAATTTAAAGTATAGTTCAGTTATTGGCCTAAAGCATATACAGTTTTGTAGAAACCATGTTTAAGTCTTCTTGTCCTTGTCTAACAAACTTGTTATACATTCTTTCAACTTCGCATACCACATTCAGACCTCTCTTCACTGTTGTGCATCCAAACACTCTCCATTTCTCTCTTACCAACCTATGTTTTTGTTAGACTCTGTAATCTTTATGTCTTCCAGTAATATAGTCTCATTTACCTTTGGAAGCATTCTATCACCGATCACTCTATTTTGCTGTATTAATCAGCTTTGTGTATATTGTGAATTTTTATAAGTTGGTGTGTGCGTGCATATTCTCTTTAAACTTTGATTTGTGCATTATTTTATTTGTCTAGAAATAAACTGCTAGCATAAATAGCATTTGATTCTTTCTATAATCATATTCAATTATTTCTTTTCAGTTAATATTTTAAAGTGACTATCTAATTGCTTTTTAATATGGGAAATTCCTATCTATAAGTAAGATCAGTAAGACTGCTGTTATTCCTTTCTCTGTAATTGCAAAATTGGAAATAGCCTGAAAATATAAAAATAATTTGACTTTTTAAAGTAAAAAATCATTTTTCATAAATATTGTGTTCCTGATTATGGACTATCTTAGTCTTCATTAATCCAAATGTTAATTCAGGGATGTATATAAAGAACTCAGTAACTTGAGAAGCTATTGCTTGTATCTGTAGCTGGATAAATATCTCAATGAAGCATATAAAGGGAACTGTATAAAAATTCTACTACCATTATGGTGCACACTCTCTGGAAGTGGGATACTTTTGTCTTCAATCTGTTTGCAAGTGAGCGGTTGACAATGCATGGACAGACTTTGAGTTTATGTGGTTCTTTCTTTAGGTATAAGAAAAAGATGAATGATGATTAAAAAAAATGCAAGTTCGGAAGACTTCTTTATTCTACTTGGATTTTCTAATTGGCCTCAGCTGGAAGTAGTTCTCTTTGTGGTTATCTTGATCTTCTACCTGATGACACTGACAGGAAACCTGTTCATCATCATCCTGTCATACGTGGACTCCCATCTCCACACACCAATGTACTTCTTCCTTTCAAACCTCTCATTTCTGGATCTCTGCCACACCACCAGCTCTATCCCTCAGTTGCTGGTGAATCTCCGGGGCCCGGAAAAGACCATCTCGTATGCTGGTTGCATGGTTCAACTTTACTTTGTTCTTGCACTGGGAATCGCAGAGTGTGTCCTACTGGTGGTGATGTCGTATGATCGTTATGTAGCTGTGTGTAGACCTTTGCATTACACTGTCCTCATGCACCCTCGTTTCTGCCACTTGTTGGCTGCGGCTTCTTGGGTAATTGGTTTTACTATCTCAGCACTTCATTCCTCCTTTACTTTCTGGGTACCCCTTTGTGGACATCGCCTAGTGGATCACTTCTTCTGTGAAGTTCCAGCACTTCTGCGTTTATCATGTGTTGACACCCATGCAAATGAGCTGACCCTCATGGTCATGAGCTCCATTTTTGTTCTCATACCTCTCATTCTGATTCTCACTGCCTATGGTGCCATTGCCCGGGCTGTACTGAGCATGCAATCAACCACTGGGCTTCAGAAAGTGTTTAGGACATGTGGAGCCCATCTTATGGTTGTATCTCTCTTTTTCATTCCAGTCATGTGCATGTATCTCCAGCCACCATCAGAAAATTCTCCTGATCAGGGCAAGTTCATTGCCCTCTTTTATACTGTTGTCACACCGAGTCTTAATCCTCTAATCTACACTCTCAGAAACAAGCATGTAAAAGGGGCAGCGAAGAGACTATTGGGGTGGGAGTGGGGGAAGTGACAGGGAAATCATGTTGTCTGTTGTCATTGTTTTTCCTAGGGTCTTAGCCATCTTGAAAGGTGGTTTCCCTGCTTCTTTGTGATTTATTTTTGTTCTAACAGCTCACAAAACAGAATAGTTCAGTATCACATTTGTTGCTCTTTTTATTATTTAGTTCTGAAATATTATGTTGAGATAAAGTTTCTGATTAGTGCCACTTTGTTCTTTTACAATTGTATATTTTATTTCTGTGAAAATTGTGGACTGTGGTTTCAACGTAAATAAATGTGCATGCGAATAGTTATGAGGAGATTATTTCAAAAATGTTGGGAATATTTCTAACAATGTGCTAAATTATGAACTGATGATATATACAGAAAGAGAAGGGCAATATTGCAAAGACTTAGGCTAAAAAGGTTTTTGGTTATTGAATAAACCTTAAATGAAGCTAAAAATAGTCACAGCAAAGAAAAATGGTAAACATAATGAATAACATTGTTTAAGATATGGTAAAGGATATATCATAAGTATTTGGTTGAAAGACACTTTTTAAAGACACTAAATTATCTAATTTATCCTGTAGGTCTACATACTTGTCACATTGAACAGTAAACTAATATCTCTTTAAAATGGCTCTTTCGTTCATCTGTCCATTTATTCATTAACTTATTCTTTATTAGCTAAATCTTATTGAATGTGTACTCTCTTCCAGTTTGTGAAATTCTTGGTAACGTGTATAAATATAACATACTCTGTCTGAACAGAACACACTCTCTGTCAGGAAAAATGGCAACATAAAAGATGAAGTATCTGTGCATGGCTTAATTTGTCACTGGGGGTAATGCTAATACATTAAGACAGCTTTTAAAAGTCAGAAACAATAAACTCTGATTACTCTTCAGATTGTATAAATCTTTCACTTTTTAAAAATCAAAAACAAGGCCGAGCACGGTGGCTCACACCTGTAATCCCAGCACTTTGGAAGGCCGAGTCAGGTGGATCATGAGGTCAGGAGACCAAGACCATCCTGGCTAACAAGGTGAAACCCCATCTCTACTAAAAATACAAAACAATTAGCTAGGCATGGTGGCACATGCCTGTAGTCCCATTGAAGCTAAACTTTTTTTTCACTTTACATGAACATTTTGAAATCACTACTAAATTCAATATTTTCAACATATTATTTCATCCGTATGTAAAATTATTGGGATTGCAATTGTTATGTTTTCTATAATCACATTTTTGAAAATAACCTGAAAATGCTGAAAAGAAAAGTTCCTTATTCATTAACAAAGAAAAATTTTGTGTTTTATGGAAATTATCTTCCTTAGCTAGGTTAGAAATTTCTTTCAATTACCATTTACCTAGAAGTCACCATAAAATGAATGGGAAGAACTCGATAGTTATTCTTCTATAAGGCAAATATATGAATAAAATATAAAATTAAAAAATTGTTTTCTATTTTTTGTGACTTTTTATTATGGTAAAATTTCAAACTTAGAGAAGAATTGCAAAAAAGTAGTACAAAGACTGACATTTACCCTATAACCAGATTAAGCATTAGTTTACATTTTCCCCCAAAGCTTTGTTATATCATCTATCTATCTATCTATCTATCTATCTATCTATCTATCTATATC
The DNA here is from genome assembly GCF_000001405.40 of Homo sapiens. Taxonomy (NCBI): domain Eukaryota; kingdom Metazoa; phylum Chordata; class Mammalia; order Primates; family Hominidae; genus Homo; species Homo sapiens. The sequence goes on from NT_167249.2 coordinate 485,562, forward strand.
TCTATCATCTATTATATCTATCTATCTATCTATCTATCTATCTATCTATCTATCTATCTATCATCTATCTCTTTTTCTGCACTAGCTGAGAGTAAGTTGGAGATGCCACGTACCTTTACACCAAGTACTTTTTTTTTTAATTATTAGGTCATTTTTATTCCTTTTAAATTTTCTATTTTGTGTTAATTATTTGTCTGCATTCTATGTACATAACTGTATTGGAGTTTCAGTTTCATATTAAGTTGTATAAACTTTTGTGTTCCAAGGTTATACAAATTCATATGTATTTTCTTAGTTCATTGCCTCTTATTTTGGTTTGTTACAATTTGTGATGTTAAAAGTCTAAAAATGTGTGCGTGGTTAATACTATCTATTGTTCATTAACATTGTGGTTTCTTCCTTTTCTTAATGCTATAATGTTCTTTTATTATAATTATTATTATTATACTTTAAGTTCTACGGTACTTGTGCACAACCTGCAGGTTTATTACATATGTATACATGTGCCATGTTGCTGTGCTGCACCCATTAACTCGTCATTTACATTAGGTATATCTCCTCATGCTATCCCTCCCCCCACCACACAACAGGCCCCGGTGTGTGATGTTCCCCTTCCTGTGTCCAAATGTTCTCATTGCTCAATTCCCACTCATGAGTGAGAACATGCGGTGTTTGGTTTTTTGTCCTTGGGATAGTTTGCTGAGAATGATGGTTTCCAGCTTCATCCATGTCCCTACATGGACATGAACTCATCATTTTTTATGGCTGCATAGTATTCCATGGTGTATATGTGCCACATTTTCTTAATCCACTCTATCATTGTTGGACATTTGGGTTGGTTCCAAGTCTTTGCTGTTGTGAATAGTGCCGTAATAAACATACGTGTGCATGTGTCTTTCTAGCAGCATGATTTATAATCCTTTGGGTATATACCCAGTAATGGGATGGCTGGGTCAAATGGTATTTCTAGTTCTAGATCCCTGAGGAATCACCACACTGACTTCCACAATGGTTGAACTAGTTTACAGTCCCACCAACAGTGTAAAAGTGTTCCTATTTCTCCACATCCTGTCCAGCACCTGTTGTTTCCTGACTTTTTAATGATTGCCATTCTAACTGGTGTGAGGTGGTATCTCATTGTGGTTTTGATTTGCATTTCTCTGATGGCCAGTGATGGTGAGCATCTTTTCATGTGTTTTTTGGCTGCATAAATGTCTTCTTTTGAGAAGTGTCTGTTCATGTCCTTCGTCCACTTTTTGATGGGGCTGTTTGTTCTTTTCTTGTAAATTTGTTTGAGTTCATTGTAGATTCTGGATATTAGCCCTTTGTCAGATGAGTAGCTTGCAAAAATTTTCTCCCATTCTGTAGGTTGCCTATTCACTCTGATGGTAGTTTCTTTTGCTGTGCAGAAACTCTTTAGTTTAATTAGATCCCATTTGTCAATTTTGGCTTTTGTTGCCATTGCTTTTGGTGTTTTAGACATGAAGTCCTTGCCCATGCCTATGTCCTGAATGGTATTGACTAGGTTTTGTTCTAGGGTTTTTATGGTTTTAGGTCTAACATTGAAGTCTTTAATCCATCTTGAATTAATTTTTGTATAAGGTGTAAGGAAGGGATCCAGTTTCGGCTTTCTACATATAGCTAGCCAGTTTTCCCAGCAGCATTTGTTAAATAGGGAATCCTTTCCCCATTTCTTGTTTTTTTCAGGTTTGTCAAAGATCAGATACTTGTAGATGTGTGGTATTATTTCTGAGGGCTGTATTCTGTTCCATTGGTCTATATCTCTGTTTTGGTACCAGTACCATGCTGTTTTGGTTACTGTAGCCTTGTAGTATAGTTTGAAGTCAGGTAGCGTGATGCCTCCAGCTTTGTTCTTTTGGGTTAGGATTGGCTTGGCAATGCGGGCTCTTTTTTGGTTCCATATGAACTTTAAAGCAGTTTTTTCCAATTCTGTGAAGAAAGTCATTGGTAGCTTGATGGGGATCGCACCGAATCTATAAATTACCTTGGGCAGTATGGCCATTTTCGCGATATTGATTCTTCCTATCCATGAGCATGGAATGTTCTTCCATTTGTTTGTATCCTCTTTTATTTCATTGAGCAGTGGTTTGTAGTTCTCCTTGAAGAGGTCCTTCACATCCCTTGTAAGTTGGATTCCTAGGTATTTGATTCTCTTTGAAGCAATTGTGAATGGGAGTTCACTCATGATTTGGCTCTCTGTTTGCCTGTTATTGGTGTATAAGAATGTTTGTGATTTTCGCACATTGATTTTGTATCCTGAGCCTTTGCTGAAGTTGCTTATCAACTTAAGGAGATTTTGGGCTGAGATGATGGGGTTTTCTAGATATACAATCATGTCATCTGCAAACAGGGACAATTTGACTTCCTCTTTTCCTAATTGAATACCCTTTATTTCTTTCTCCTGCCTGATTGCCCTGGCCAGAACTTCCAACACTATGTTGAATAGGAGTGGTGAGAGAGGGCATCCCTGTCTTGTGCCAGTTATCAAAGGGAATGCTTCCAGTTTTTGCCCATTCAGTATGATATTGGCTGTGGTTTTGTCATAAATAGCTCTTATTATTTTGAGATACGTTCCATCAATACCTAGTTTATTGAGAGTTTTTAGCATGAAGGGCTGTTGAATTTTGTCAAAGCCCTTTTCTGCATCTATTGAGATAATCATGTGGTTTTTGTCTTTTGTTCTGCTGGATTATGTTTATTGATTTGCGTACGTTGAACCAGGCTTGCATCCCAGGGATGAAGCCCACTTGATCATGGTGAATAAGCTTTTTGATGTGCTGCTGGATTCGGTTTGCCAGTATTTTATTGAGGATTTTTGCATCGAGGTTCATCAGGGATGTTGGTCTAAAATTCTTTTTTTGTTGTGTCTCTGCCAGGCTTTGGTATCAGGATGATGCTGGCCTCATAAAATGAGTTAGGGAGGATTCCCTCTTTTTCTATTGATTGGAGTAGTTTCAGAAGGAATGGTACCAGCTCCTCCTTGTACCTCTGGTAGAATTCGGCTGTGAATCCGTCTGGTCCTGGACTTTTTTTTGGTTGGTAAGCTACTAATTATTGCCTCAATTTCAGAGCCTGTTATTTGGTCTATTCAGAGATTCAACTTCTTCCTGGTTTAGTCTTGGGAGGGTGTATGTGTCGAGGAATTTATCCATTTCTTCTAGATTTTCTAGTTTATTTGCATAGAGGTGTTTATAGTATTCTCTGATGGTAGTTTGTGTTTCTGTGGGATCGGTGGTGATATCCCCTTTATCATTTTTTGTTGTGTCTATTTGATTCTTCTCTCTTTTCTTCTTTATTAGTCTTGCTAGCAGTCTATCAATTTTGTTGATCTTTCAAAAAACCAGCTCCTGGATTCATTGATTTTTTGAATGGTTTTTTGTGTGTCTATCTCCTTCAGTTCTGCTCTGATCTTAGTTATTTCTTGCCTTCTGCTAGCTTTTGAATGTGTTTGCTCTTACTTCTCTAGTTCTTTTAATTATGATGTTAGGGTGTCAGTTTTAGATCTTTCCTGCTTTCTCTTGTGGACATTCAGTGTTATAAATTTCCCTCTACACACTGCTTTAAATGTGTCCCAGAGATTCTGGTATGTTGTATCTTTGTTCTCGCTGGTTTCAAAGAACATCTTTATTTCTGCCTTCATTTCGTTATGTACCAGTAGTCATTCAGGAGCAGGTTGTTCAGTTTCCATGTAGTTGAGTGGTTTTGAGTGAGTTTCTTAATCCTGAGTTGTAGTTTGATGGCACTGTGGTCTGAGAGACAGTTTGTTATAATTTCTGTTCTTTTACATTTGCTGAGGAGTGCTTTTCTTCCAGCTATGTGGTCAATTTTGGAATAAGTGTGATGTGGTACTGAGAAGAATGTATATTCTGTTGATTTGGGGTGGAGAGTTCTGTAGATGTCTATTAGGACCGCTTGGTGCAGAGCTGAGTTCAATTCCTGGATATCCTTGTTAACTTTCTGTCTTGTTGATCTGTCTATTGTTGACAGTGGGGTGTTAAAGTCTCCCATTATTATTGTGTGGGAGTCTAAGTCTCTTTGTAGGTCTCTAAGGACTTGTTGTATGAATCTGGGTGCTCTTGTATTGGGTGCATGTATATTTAGGATAGTTAGCTCTTCTTGTTGAATTGATCCCTTTACCATTATGTAATGGCCTTCTTTGTCTCTTTTGATCTTTGTTGGTTTAAAGTCTATTTTATCAGAGACTAGGATTGCAACCCCTCCCTTTTTTTGTTTTCCATTTGCTTGGTAGATCTTCCTCCATCCCTTTATCTTGAACCTATGTGTGTCTCTGCATGTGAGATGGGTTTCCTGAATACAGCACACTGATGGGTCTTGACCCTTTATCCAATTTGCCAGTCTGTGTCTTTTAATTGGAGCATTTAGCCCATTCAAGACATTTACACCAAATATTTTATTCAATGTTTCTTGTCTAAGAAGAAGGATGTTATTTTACATAAGTCCTGCACAGTACCCAAATCAGCAAATTTAATATGGGCACAATATTATTATCTAATCCATAGTCCACAGTGAGATTTCTTAAATAGTCCCAATAATTTTGTTAATAGCCACTTTTTAAAAAAATCCCAGATGATACACTGAGAAATCACATCTCACTAGTCTCCTTCCATCTGGACCAGTGCCACCGCCTTTGTTTGTCTACTTAAACTTGATACTTTTGAATTGTACAGGCAAACTATTTCTCTCAATTAGAGTTTTTCTCATGTGTCTTCATTATTAGAATTAGTCTGTGTATTTTTAACATAAATATCACTGAGGTGACATCATGCCCTGTTCAGAGCAGCATCTCAGCAGTCTCATGATGTTGGTTTGTACAAATACAGGTGATCTTAAGATCAATAAAATCACTTGGTTATGTTGGTGTCTGCCAGGTTTTTCTACTGTAAACTTCACTGTTTTTCAGTTTGAAATTAACAAGAAAGTTGTGAGGAGATATTTTAGACTATGTACATGTCCTGTTCCCCATCAAATTTTTATCCACTAGTTTTGCAATCATTTATGTTTTTCTTAACACCATCATCCCTTCTATGTTTATTAATTAGGGATCTACTGTTAGGAATGGCTTTTTCTTCACCATTCATTTATTTACTCTTACTTTTTATATCAGTACGAGCTTTATAATTCTTCTTTTGTTAAGTTCATTACTACTAATGGTTAAATTGTCCTACAATTAAATGATGGCAAGCCCTTCAAACTGGATTTTATTTTTTTTACGTATCCTGATGTTTTTTGGAGCATTTGTTTACTGCTTTTTGAGTTTACCTGATTTTTTTTTTCTCTCAGGTAATAGGAAATGAATGATGATGGAAAAGTCAATGCTAGCTCTGAGGGGTACTTTATTTTAGTTGGATTTTCTAATTGGCCTTATCTGGAAGTAGTTCTCTTTGTGGTTATTTTGATCTTCTGCTTGATGACACTGATAGGAAACCTGTTCATCATCATCCTGACGTACCTGGACTCCCATCTCCATACTCCCTTGTATTTCTTCCTTTCAAATCTCTCATTTCTGGATCTCTGCTACACCACCAGCTCTATCCCTCAGTTGCTGGTCAGTCTCTGGGGTGTGGAAAAGACCATTTCTTATGCTGGTTGCATGGTTCAACTTTACTTTTTTCTCACACTGGGAACCACAGAGTGTGTCCTACTGGTGGTGATGTCCTATGACCGTTATGCAGCTGTGTGTAGACCTTTGCATTACACTGTCCTCATGCACTCTCGTTTCTGCCACTTGTTGGCTGTGGCTTCTTGGGTAAGTGGTTTTACAAACCCAGCACTTCATTCCTCCTTCACCTTCTGGGTACCTCTGTGTGGACACCGCCAAATAGATCACTTTTTCTGTGAAGTTCCGGCACTTTTATGATTATCATTTGTCAATACCCGTGAAAATAAACTGACCCTCATGATCACAAGCTCCATTTTTGTTCTGCTACTTCTCACCCTCATTTTCACTTCCTATGGTGCTATTGCCCAGGCTGTACTGAGGATGCAGTCAACCACTGGGCTTCAGAAAGTATTTGGAACATGTGGAGCTCATCATATGGTTGTATCTCTCTTTTTCATTCCGGCCATGTGCATGTATCTCCAGCCACCATCAGGGAATTCTCAAGATCAAGGCAAGTTCATTGCTCTCTTTTATACTGTTGTTACACCTAGTCTTAACCCTCTAATCTACACCCTCAGAAACAAAGATGTAAGAGGGGTAGTGAAGAGACTAAGGGGGTGGGAGTGAGCCTGTGTTTGTGTGATATTAACAATATAATGGAGTCTTTCCTCACAATGATTCATCCATCTGTTCATTTATCAACCATTCTTTTATTCACTCACTCTGTTAGCACTTGCTGAGCATGTACTCTAACAAAGTCGTGGAGATCCTGGTAACAGGTAGGAATAAAACACATTCAGCTTAAATACCATTCACTTTTGGAGAAAACAGCTGTGTAAAATCAAGATAAAACATCTATAGTGATGTTTTTCCATGGCACAAACCTAATGAATACAAGAAAGACTTTTCCTGATTAAAAATAAGGCATGAAATTTGTTGTAAATATTGATAAAAGTGAAGTTATAATTCCTATGAAAAGATGATACTCTCAATTTTAAAATATCTAGAATATGTCTTTTAATTTTTTGCTGTTTAGGCAGAATACTTTTGTCTTCTATCTTTAGTTTAGTTGAATACACAGCAAAATACTTCAAATCCTTTCCTCCAACACTACTTATTTTTTGTTGGATGTAAATTTTGAGAGGAATTTTGGTCCATATTCTTTGATATCCAATATCAATAGTAAGACAATAAGTTTTATAAATTGTAGCAAGAGAGATGTTGAAGCAGTGTAGCAGAAGTCGGCGTCCAAGATCCCTCTTTTTTACAAGGCAGTGAGAAGGATATTGGAGGTGAAAGGAGCTGGTAAAGCTGACCTATGTAGCTTATAAAGAAATGGTCATCACCGTCTAGGTATACTTAGGTGAGGTAAGTGCTTGGAGCAACTGCATTACCTAAAGAGCTATGGAGAACATTTGAGGCAAATAGAGAGGCTCTGAAAATGACTTGAAGTCAATGGGTGTATAAAAGAATTATGTTTAAATATACTGGAAAATTTTTATGATAAAAGCTGTTATATGGAAAATGTTAGTTTATTTTTATTTTTAAGCTTGTTCTAATTTGAATATTTATAGTTAATAAGTATATTAGGAATATCAATATATGGTTTCAAATAAATATATTTTATAGAAGTTATCATTTTGTTCTATATATTATTGTCAACCATCTTCATCTGAAATAATTGCGTTATACCTAGAGCAATTTAAACTGACAGTCGTAGTCAAATGATGTGGAAAAATGACTAAAGGAGAATTCAGTATAATGTAACGTACTTGCAATGCCTGAGTTTTCTCTATAACTGGAATGTCAGCTGTAGCTTTTGAGGCCTGTGAGATTTGGATGTGATTGATTCACACACTATTTCCTAAATTATAAAAATAAAAATGCATCTCGGAACTTCCCTCCAATTTCTAGTGTGACTTGCAATTGCATTGATTCTGCTGACTTTATCTTCTTTCTGCATCTGTGACTCTTCCTTTATTTCTAACTAGGCATGAAAAATATGAGTCATTTGCCCTTGTCCTTAAGCTTACCCAAGAAATGAAGAACCAAGAATAGTGTATGTAAAATAACTTTTAGTAAACAATTGAGACCACTTAGGGTAAAACATCACATAAAAACAAATTTTTTAAAACTTAAAGAACATAGCTTAGCTCTTTGAACTATTTCCTACTATGGAAATCTTACGATTTGTAACACTTCCTGTAGCATCCTGGTTTCTCACCTACTCAAATATCCTCTCCATCTTTATTAAGTGAAAAGTTGTATTTATTTATGATATACAGCATAAAGTTTTGATATATGTATAATTATGCAATTATTATTCAAGCTAATTAACAAATCATTAACTCACATACTTACCTGTTTTGTGGTGAGAACATTTAGGATCTGTTATCTTAGCAATTTTCAAGTATGCAGTACAGTTTTATTAACTATAGTCACCATACTATAGAATAGATCTCTTGAATTTATTCCTTCTAACTGAAACTTTGTACCCTTTGACCAGCATCTCCCCATTTTCCCTCCCTCCACTGCTAACCCCTGACAAGCCTCATTCTACTACTTTGTGCTTCTATGAGTTCATTTTATGTAGATTTCACACATTAGATCGTGCAGTATTTATTTTTCTGTGCCTGGCTCATTTTACTTAGCAAAGTGTCCTCAGGTTTGCCATGTGTTTGAAAATATTAGGACTTCCTTCTTATTTTAAGGCAGAATAGTATTCTATTGTATATAAACTACACTTTTTAAATTCACTCATTCATTGATTGACTCTTAGATTGATTCAATACTTTGGCTATTATGAATTTGCTGCCATATTCATGGAAGTGGAGATAGCTCTTCAACATAGTGATTTAATTCTTTTGGATATAAACCCAGAAGTGTGATTGATGGATCATATGGCAGTTCTATTTTTATTTATTATTAATTAATTAATTAATTAATTTTTTGAGACAGAGTCTCGCTCTGTCGCCCAGGCTGGAGTGCAGTGGTGGGATCTCGGCTTACTGCAACTCCCACCTCCTGGGTTCTAGCGATTGTCTTGCCTCAGCCTCCAGAGTAGCTGGGACTACAGGTAAGCACCACCACGCCCAGCTAATTTCTGTATTTTTAGTAGAGACAGGATTTCTTGTGTGTGTGTGTGTGTGTGTGTGTGTGTGTGTGTGTGTGTGTCCTAGCAAATCTTTAATTACCCTAAGGCCGATGTAGTTTCTCGTATAAGTTCTTATGAAATCTTTTATTTTTCATTATTTTTATGTTTATTTTACTTTAAGTTCTCGGATACATGTGCAGAATGTGCAAATTTGTTACATAGGTATACATGTGCCATAGTGGTTTGCTGCACCTATCAACCTGTCATCTAGGTTTTAAGCCCCACATGCATTAGATATTTGTCCTAATGCTCTCCCTCTCCTTCCCCCTGAACCCGTGACAGGCCCCAGTGTGTGATGTTGCCCTCCCTGTGTCCATGTGTTCTCATTGTTTAACTACCGCTTATGAGTGAGAACATGCAGTGTTTAGTTTTCTGTTCCTGTGTTATTTTGCTGAAAATAATGGTTTCCAGCTTCATCCATGTCCCTGCAAAGGACATGAACTCATTCTTTTTTATGGCTGCATAGTATTCCATGGTGTATATGTGCCACATTTTCTTCATCCAGTCTATTATTGATGGGCATTTGGGTTGGTTCCAAGTCTTTCCTATTGTAAATGGTGCTGCAATAAACATACATGTGCATGTGTCTTTATAGTAGAATGATTTATAATCCTTTGGATATATACGCACTCATGGGATTGCTGGGTCAAATGGTATTGCTGGTTCTAGATCCTTGAGGAATCGCCACACTGTCTTCCACAATGGATGAACTAATTTACTCTCCCACCAACAGTGTAAAAGCATTCCTATTTCTCCACAGACTCGCCAGCATCTGTTGTCTCCTGACATTTTAATAATTGCCATTCTAACTAGTGTGAGATGGTATCTCGTGGTTTTGATTTGCATTTCTCGAATGACCAGTGATGACGAGCTATTTTTCATGTGTTTGTTGGCTCCATAAATGCCTTCTTTTGAGAAGTTTCTATTTATATCCTTTGCTCACTTTTTGATGGGGTTGTTTGTTTTATTTTCATAAATTTGTTTAAGTTCCTCATATATTCTGGATATTAGACTTTTGTCAGATGCATAGATTGCAAAAATTTTGTCCCATTCTGTAGGTTGCCTGTTCACTCTGATGGTAGTTTCTTTTGCTGTGCAGCAGCTCTTCAGTTTAATTAGATCCCATTTGTCAATTTTGTCTTTTGTTGCCGTTGCTTTTGGTGTTTTAGTCATGAAGTCTTTGCCCATGCCTATATCCTGAATGGTATTGCCTAGGTTCTTTTCTAGGGTTTATATGGTTTTGGGTTCTACATTTAAGTCTTTAAGCTATCTTGAGTTAATTTTTGCCTAAGGTATAAGGAAGGGGTCCAGTATCAGTTTTCTGCATATGGCTAGCCAGTTTTCCCACCACCATTTGTTAAACAGAGAATCCTTTCCCCATTGCTTGTTTCTGGTAGAGATGGGATTTCACCATGTTGGCCAGGCTGGTCTCAAACTCCTGACCTCAGGTGATCTGCCGACCTCGGCCTCCCAAAGTGTTGGAATTACAGGCATAAGCCACTGCGCCTGGCCCTATTTTAAATTTATTTAGGAAACTTCATAGTGTTTTCCCTCATGGCTGTCCTAATTTACATTTCAAAAAACAATGTAACAATGTATAAGAATTCTCTTTTCTCCATATTCTTCCCACCACCTGTTGTCCTTTGTGTTTTTCATAATAGATCTAACTGGTGTGAGGTATGAGGTGATAGCTACTGGTGTGGGCCTGAACTTTAGGTCCAGTGGAACCTAGAGTGGTGGGGATCAACCTGAAGCCTGGAACTGGCCTGGTTCTAGAGTGGAACTTGCTGCCTTAGGGGCTTGTCTGGAGCCTGGGTTTATGGGGCCCAGCTTATATGTGCTGGTCTGGAGGCTAGGCCCTTGGGTACTGGCATGGATCTTGGGACTACAGAGTCTGACCTAGGGGGCCAACTGGCACTGGAAAGTCCTATTTTGCCGTTTTATTGATATCACTTCTCACTCTTTAAATTTTTTTTGGCTTTTTAATTTTCTGGGCTCTTTTCTCCTTCTTCTCTTACAAAATATATACATTTTCTTTTATATGTGTAGACTTTTTGTTTTCTTTTGGGAGGTTATGTTGGGAACAGGCCCCCAAATCTGGCCATAAACTGGCCCCAAAACTGGCCATAAACAAAATCTCTGCAGCCCTGTGACATGTTTGTGATGGCCATGATGCCCATGCTGAAGGTTGTGGGTTTACCAGAATGAGGGCAAGGAACACCTGGCCCACCCAGGGCAGAAAACCGCTTAAAGGCATTCCTAAATCACAAACAATAGCATGAGTGATCTGTGCCTTAAGGACATGTTTCTGCTGCAGATAACTAGACAGAGCCCATCCCTTTGTTTCGGCCCATCCCTTTGTTTCCCTTAAGGAATACTTTTAGTTAATCTATAATCTATAGAAATAATGCTTATCACTGGCTTCGTGTCAATCAATATGTGGGTCAAACTCTGTTCAGGGCTCTCAGCTCTGAAGGCTGTGAGTGCCCTGATTTCCCACTCCATACTCTATATTTCTGTGTGTGTGTCTTTAATTCCTCTAGTGCCGCTGGGTTAGCATCTCCATGATCGAGGTGGTCTTGGCAAGGTTATAATTATAGGATATCTAATATTGAATCCTAGTCATATTAACCTGTGCTATTTAATTTGTAATCTGAAAGTGATCAGTTACTAATAATTCCCCCAAAGTGTAACACAGATATTATTGTTTTTATTGTTTTGTACTTTTCAAACCAGTCAAGCAAACTTTATGCAGCAGAACAACAAGAATGAGTTCTCTCACTTTATCAAACTGAAGGGAGGAGATAGGTGCTTGCATAAGCTCTGGCAACTTGTATATGAAAAAATCAGGGTAAGGACAATACATTTTTAGCTCTGACGACCTGTTCCTATGTCAACAACACTGAAGGCAAAGTAGAAGCCCTGAGATGCTCCCCTTGTCAGGCCTAAACCTCATGTCAACGTTTGTGAACTGGGATTTCCAAAGCAGAAATGAATTTATGCGGCAAGCAATTTTACTGTAGAACTAACAGTGAAGCCAGCTTTTTCCCAGATAGGAATGATGACTAACTGCACTGAAGCATCAGCTTCTTTTTCCCTGTAAACTTCTGTCAGGAATACCACAAAAGTGTGATTGTGTTCTCCTTAGTGCATCCTATCAGTATGTACATATTTCTTTATTCTGTTATGGGCAATATTGGCTTTGATTACTTGGTTAATGTTGTATCTGCCAGGCATCTTTACTATAAAAATTAGTGTTTTTCTCAGTAATATATAAGTGTCATGTGGGGAAGTATGTTGAGATTAGGTAGCATTCTGTTTTTTAACTAGCTTTCATCCACTAGTTTTATTAGTAAGCATCCCTTAATATTCCTTCCCAGAAACAATTATTACTATAGTGGTTTCCAAGTAATGATTCTTAAAGTTCCATCATTCCTTCCAAATTTAATAATTTGTGTGGCAGGCTAAATACTTCCTCTCCTTCTCTCAAATGATCACAACCTAATCACTGGGATAAGTTATTATATATTACCTTACGTGGCAAAATTAATTTTATTTTTTATATTTTAAGTCCTGGAAGACATGTGCGGAATGTGCAGGTTTGTTACATAGGCATACATGTGCCATGCTGGTTTGCTGCACCCATCAACTCATCATCTACATTAGGTATTTCTCCTAATGCTATCTCTCCCTAGCCCTCCCACCTTCTAACAGACCCTACTGTGTGATGTTCCCATCCCTGTGTCCATGTGTTCTCACTGTTCAACTCCCACTTATGAGTGAGAACATGCAGTGTTTGGTTTTCTGTTCCTGTTTTAGTTTGCTGAGAATGATGGTTTCCAGTTTCATCCATGTCCCTACAAAGGACATAAACTCGTTCTTTTTTATGGCTGCATAGTATTCCATGGTGTATATGTGCTACATTTTCTTATTCCAGTCTATCATTGATGGGCATTTGGGTTGGTTCCAAGTCTTTGCTATTATGAATGGTGCTGCAATAAACATACATGTGCATGTGTCTTTATAGTAGAATGATTTATAATCCTTTGGGTATATACCTAGTAATGGGATTGCTGAGTCAAATGGTATTGCTGGTTCTAGATCCTTGAGGAATTGCCCCACTGTCTTCCACAATGGATGAACTAATTTACATTCTCACCAACAGTGTAAAAGCATTCCTATTTCTCCACATCCTCTCCAGCATCTGTTGTTTCCTGACTTTTTAATGATCACCATTCTAACTGGTGTGAGATGGTATCTCATTGTGGTTTTGATTTACATTTCTCTAATGACCAGAGATAATGAGCTTTTTTTCATATGTTTGTTGGCTGCATCAATGTCTTTTTTAGAGAACTGTCTGTTCATATCCTTCGCCCACTTTTTGATGGGGTTGTTTTTTCTTGTAAATTTGTTTAAATTCTTTGTAGACTCTGGATATTAGCCCTTTGCCAGATGGATAGATTGCAAAAATTTTCTCCCATTCTGTAGGCTGCTTGTCCAGAAGGTTTCTTTTGCTGTGCAGAAGCTCTTTAGTTTAATTAGATCCCATTTGTCAATTTTGTCTTTTCTTGCCATTGCTTTTGGTGTTTTAGTCATGAAGTCTTTGCCCATGCCTATATCCTGAATGGTATTGCCTAGGTTTTCTTCTAGGGTTTTTATGGTTTTAGGTCTTACGTTTAAGTCTTTCATCTGTCTTGAGTTAATTTTTGTGTAAGGTGTAAGGAAGGGGTCCAGTTTCAGTTTTCTGCATATGGCTAGCCAGTTTTCCTAACACCATTTATTAAATAAGGAATCCTTTCCCCATTGCTTGTTTTTGTCTGGTTTGTCAAAGATCAGGTGGTTGTAGACGTGTGGCATTATTTCAGAGGCCTCTGTCCTGTTCCATTGGTCTATATATCCGTTTTGGTACACATACCATGCTGTTTTGGTTACTGTATTCTTGTAGTATAGTTTAAAGTCAGGTAGCATGATGCCTCCAACTTTCTCCTTCTTGCTTAGGATTGTCTTGGTTATACGGGCTCTGTTTTGGTTCCATGTGATATTTAAAGTAGTTTTTTTCTAATTCTGTGAAGAAAGTCAGTGGTAGCTTGATTGGGATAGCACTGAATCTATAAATTACTTTGGGCAGTATGGCCATTTTCATGATATTGATTCTTTGGTATGTTTTTGCAGTGGCTGGTACTGATTTTTCTTTTCCATATTTAGTACTTCCTTCAGGAACTCCCGTAAGGCAGGACTGGTGGTGACGAAATCTCTCAGCATTTGCTTGTCTGTAAAGGATTTTGTTTCTCCTTCACTTATGAAGCTTAGTTTGGCTGGATATGAAATTCTGGGTTGAAAATTCTTTTCTTTAAGAATTTTGAATATTCGTTCTCACTCTCCCCTCGCTTGTAGGGTTTTTGCTGAGAGACCTGCTGTTAGTCTGATGGGCTTCCCTTTGTGGGTAACGTGACCTTTCTCTCTGGCTGCCCTTAACATTTTTTTCTTTCATTTCAACCTTGGTGAATATTATGATTATGTGTCTTGGGGTTGCTGTTCTTGAGGAATATCTTAGTATTTTTCTCTGCATTTCCTGAATTTGAATGTTGACCTGTCTTGCTAGGTTGGGGAAATTCTCCTGGATTATATCCTGAAGAGTGTTTTCAAGCTTGGTTCCATTCTCCCCATCACTTTCAGGTACACCAATCAAACGTAGGTTTGGTCTTTTCACATAGTCCCATATTTCTTGGAGGCTTTGTTCATTCATTTTCATTCTTTTTTCTCTAATTTTGTCTTCACGCTTTATTTCATTAAGTTGAATTTCAATCTCTGATATCCTTTCTTCTGCTTAATCAATTCGGCTATTGATACCTTTGTATGCTTCACAAAGTTCTCGTGCTGTTTTTCAGCTCCATCAGGTCATTTATGTTCTTCTCTAAACTGATTAATTTAGTTAGGAAGTCTTCTATCTTTTCTTCAAGGTTCTTAGCTTCCTTGCATTGGGTTAAAACATGCTCCTTTAGCTTGGAGGAGTTTGTTATTACCCACCTTCTGAAGCCTACTTGTGTCAATTCGTCAAACTCATTCCCCATCCAGTTTTGTTCCCTTGCTCGTGAGGAGTTGTGATCCTTTGGAGGAGAAGAGGCATTCTGGATTTTGGAATTTTCAGCCTGCAAAAGGGTTTTTATAGATGTGATTAAATTCTCAACCTTGAGTTGGGATTATTATCCTGTATTAGCCAGGAGGGCTGACATAATCACACATATCCATATAAGAGAGAGGGCATGTAAGTTCTTTCCTGCCACATTCTTAGTCAGAGAGAAGATATTCTGCTGCTGACTTTAAAGATAGAGGAATGGGCCATGAGCCACGGAATACAGGTTGCTTCTAGAAGCTGGAGTAGTTGAGGAAACATGTTCTGTCCTAGAGCCTGCGGAAGATGTGCAGCCCTGTAGATCCAATTTAGTCTTTCTTTCTCCAGATATATAAGATATTTTTGTTATTTTAAACACCAAATTTGTAGTAATTTGTTTTAGCAACAATGGAAAACTAATAGAGTTGGCATTCTATATGAAGGAATAGCTTTCCTTTGTTCCTGTGTGTGTGTGTGTGTGTGTGTGTGTGTGTGTACGTGTGTGTATCAGGTATTATTTATCTATGTGTCTATCCATATATCTTAATATGGTCTTATGCATTCTTATTTCATTCTATCATTATTTTGATGCTGAAATGGTCAGTGTTTTGGCTAGAGAGGATCCCTTCTGGGTGGCTTATATGTCTTTTTTATATGTCTCCATACTTCTTAAAATATTTTCTTACTGTTGGCAAACTCAGATGAACTTGACATATCTGACACTTTTCTTTGGGAGGAACAGATAACTTTGTTTATCTTAGGTCAAATGACAAAAACTTTGAATAAAGCAATGGGGTTTCCTAATGAACAATTCACTAGAAATGCATGGAGTAGATAACACCAAGAGATGGTAATATTGTTGGCAAATATTTATTTTGTTATAACACCACATTTCTTTACCCTCTCAGGAAATGGAAAGTTTTTGTATTGTGCTTGAGAGTGGGGCAATGGTGAAGAACAGTGACTGGCTATGGGTTTGGGGAGTCATTTGGCAGGAGTGTAAATCCTTGAAATTTGAAGATCTTTCAAATTACCTTGATTCTCCTCAACAAAATACTAGCAAACCAAATCCAACAGCATATAAAAACCCAATTTCTTAGCTTTTTGTTGAAATAGCTATTTCCTCACGTTTTCTATCTTCTAGAGGTGACCTATATTCCTTGGCTCATGGCCCATTCTTCTATCTTTAAAGTCAGCAGCAGAGTATCTTTTCTCTGACCTCCAGCCTCCCTCTTATATGGACACAGGTGATTATATTAGCCTACCTGCCTAATCCAGGATAATATCCCCATCTCAAGATTCTGAATTTAATCACATCTATAAAAGTCCTTTTGCCATGTAAAGTAACATATAATCACAGGCTCCACAGATTAGGGTGTGAGCATTTGCATCGCAGAGAAAAAGCCTACCATGACCCCTTGCGTCCCAGGGATAAAGCCTACCATGATCAAGTAGGCTTTATCCCTGAGAGGAAAGGTTGGTTCAACATATGCAAATCAATACATGTGATTCATCACATAAACAGAAATGAAAACAAAAACCACATAATTATCTCAATACATGCAGAGAAGGCTTTCAATAAAATTCAACATCCCTTCATGTTAAAAACCCTCAATAAACTAGGCATTGAAGGAATATACTTCAAAATAATAAAAGCAATCTATAAAAAACCCACAGCCAACATCATACTGAATGGAAAAAGCTGGAAGCATTCCCCTTGAAAACCGGCATAAGACATGGATGCCCTCTCTCACCACACCTATTCAACATAGTACTGGAAGTCCTGGCCAGAGCAATCAGGCAAGAGAAAGAAATGAAAGGCATCCAAATAAGAAGAGAGGAAGTTATACTATTCCTGGTTGCAAAAGACATGAATCCGTATGAGAAAACCCCATAGTCTTGGTCCAAAAGCTCCTTGATCTGATAAACAACTTCAGAAAAGTTTCAGGATACAAAAGCAATGTACAAAAATTTAGCATTCCCATACATCAACAACATTCAATCTGAGGGCTAAATCAGGAATGCCATCCCATTCACAACTGCCACAAGAAGAATAAAATACCTAGAAATTCTGCTAACCAAGAACGTAAAACATCTCTACAATGAGAATTACAAAAAACTGCTGAAAGAAATCAGAGGTGCCACAAACAAATGGAAAAACATCCCATGCTCATGGATACTAAGATTCAGTATCATTAAAATGGCCACACTGGTCCAAAGCAATTTATAGATTCAGTGCAACTCCTATCAAACTACCGATGACATTGTTCACAGCATTAGAAAAAAACTATTTTAAAATTTGTATGGAACCGAAAAAGAGCCCTAATAGCCAAGGCAATCCTAAGAAAAAAGGAAAAAGCTAGAGGCATCACCTTACCCAACTTATACTAGAGGGCTACAGTATCCAAAACAGCACGGTACTGGAAAAAAAAAAAACAAAACAAAACAGATATATAGACCAATAGAATAAATAGAGAACCCAGAAATAGTGCAACACACCTACAAAAAAATATGATCTTCAACAAAGCTGACCAAAACAAGCAATGGGGAAAGGACTCCCCATTTTATAAAAGGTGCTGGGATAAGTGACTAGCTCTGTGCAGAAGATTGAAACTGGATGCCAACTTTGCACCACATACAAAAATCAACTCAAGATGGATTAAACACTTAAATGTTAAAATGAAAACTATTAATATAAAAACTCTGGAAGATAACCTAGGAAATACCATTCTGGACATAGGACTTGGGAAACATTTCATCATGAAGATGCCAAAAGCAATTGCAACAAAAACAAAAATTGACAAATGAAGCCTAATTAAACTAAAGAACGTCTCACAGTAAGAGAAACTATCAACAGTGGAAACAGACAACCTACAAAATGAGAGAAAATATCTGCATACAATGCATTTGACAAAGGTCTAATATCTGGCATCTAGAAAGAACTTAAACAAATTTATAAGAAAGAAACAATGCCGTTTAAAAGTCAGCAAAAGACATGAACAGACACTTTCCAAAAGAAGGTACACATGCGGCCAAGCATATGAAAAAATGCTCAATATCATTAATCATTAGAGAAATGCAAATCAAAACCGCAATGAGATACCATCTCGTACCAGGTGGAATGGCTATTATCAAAAAGTCAAATTATTAATAACAGATACATCAAGGTTATGGAGAAAAGGGAATGCTTATACACTGCTGGTGGGAATGTAAATTACCTTAGCTATTGTGGAAAATGGTGTAATGATTCCTCCAAGAACTTAAAACAGAACTACTCTTCCACCAAGCAATCCCATTAGCGGGTATATACCCAAAGGAATATAAATCATTCTACCATAAAGACATATGCACGAGTATGTTCATTGCAGCACTGTTCACAACAGCAAATACATGAAATCAACCTAAATGCCCATCAACAGTAGATTGGGTAAAGAAAATGTGGTACATAGACCCCATGGAATACTATGCAGTCATAAAAAGAATGAGGTCATTTCCTTTGCAGCACCATGGATGGAGCTGCAGGCCATCATCCTAAGCAAACTAAATGGAAAAGAGCCAAATACCACATGTTCTCACTTATAAGTGGGAGCTAAACATAAGAACACATGGATACTAGAAGGTGAACCACATGCACTGGGGTCTACTTGACGGTGGAGGGTGGGAGGAGGAAGAAGATCAGAAAAAATACCTATTGAGTACTATGCTTATTACCTGGATGATGAAATTATCTGTACTCCAAACCCCTGTGATGCGCAGTTTACCTGTATAACAAACCTGCACATATACCCATGAACCTAAAATAAAAGTTAAAAAAACCTAAACCCCAAATTACCTTCAACCTTTATGAGTTTTTACATTTGAAAGTTAAATCGATAACTTAATGACAATAATTCAACTCTCTCATGCTTATCCCCCTCATCTAACCCAAAACAAAACAAGATGGGATGCTGAGGTGAGGAACCTTTGAATTTTTAAATAGTATTAGGTCTAGCAGAACCTCAGAAAGACATGTTTACATTAAGAGGACTTTGACTATTGATATGGGCATGTAAGTTCTTTACTGCCACGTTCCTAGTAATTCCTGAATTGCACATGTATGAAATGACATTAATTCTCTCATACTTTAGGGTTGCTTGTTAGTGCCTAGAAGGAATACAGTCTCTGTGGCCAGTCTCCTTGGATCAACAAGAGCCTTGTAGTTTCCCATTTTTCATGCGCTAATAGTGAAAATGTTTAGAAAGCCCCATCTATCCTCCCACATTGGCATCCCACTGATGTGCTGTCCTGGTTGCTAGGTGCAGATTTAGGTTCCAAGCAGAACACTGCTAGTGTTCTCTGCAGTTTGTTGTAGAATCATAGTGTCTTGGCAACCAAAGGCAGATCTGGTGCTATGGAGGACCTGCTTACTGCTATGAGGTGTTACTTTATAGAGGTCCTGGAGAAGCTGATTGAGGCCACGTCAATGTTGCAAGGAGACATGAGACTCACATCAGAGTTCTATGGCTTAACATGGGGGATGGTGGTAAGTGCGGCTCTATTTGGATTTTGTAATTATAAAAGCCCACTTTATGTAGAGAGAAAAAAAAGAGTTTACCAGAGAAGTTTCTTCTGTAGTTGAAGACAAATGTAATGTTTTAATAAATTAGGCTGATTAAAAAAGAATATGAGCTTGGTGTGGTGGCTCATGCCTGTAATCCCAGCGCTTTGGGAGGCTGAGGCGGGTGGATCACCTGAGGTCAGGAGTTTGAGACCAGCCCGGCCAACATGGTGAAATTCCGTCTCTACTAAAAATACAAAAAATTAGCCAGGCATGGTGGCAGATCCTGTAATCCCAGCTACTTGGGAGGCCGAGGCAGGATAATCCTTGAACCTGGGAGGCAGAGGTTGCAGTGAGCCGAGATCACGCCATTGTACTACAGCCTGGGCAATGGGAGTGAAACTTTGTCTCTTAAAAAAAAAACGAGTATGAAGAGTATAAATTATTTTTCATGGAGTCTTGCCCTTAGAACAAGGCATTAAATCCTCTAAGTGTATAGGAAATTTGAGTTCAAAATAGATGCTTTGAAAAAAAGGAATGTTTTTGAAAAATGCGAATTTTTACAGATTTACAATGTAGAAGTGCAGTTGTGTTCCATGGATATATTGCATAGTGGTGAAGTCTGATTTTTCAATGTATCCATCATCCAAATAAAATACATTGTCCTCAGTAGGTAGTCTTTCATCCCTCAACCCTTTCCCAGCCTCCCACCTTTTGGAGTCTCCAATGCCTATATTTCACTCTATATCCACATGTACCCATTGTTTAGCTCCCACTTATAATTGATAATATGTAGCATTTGGCTTTTTGTTTCTGAGTTCTCTTAAGCCAATGGCCTCCAGTTACAGTCACGTTGCTGCAAAAGACATGATTTCAGTCTTTTTATGGCCAAGTAGTATTCTAAAGTGTGTATATATGTATACCACATTTTAGAAATCCAATAGTCCACTGATGGACACTCAGGCTGATTTTATTACTTTGCTATTGTGGATAGTGCTGCGATATACATAGACACATAGGTTTCTTTTTGATATAATGATTTCTTTACCTTTAGCTTGATATCCAGTAATGGGATTGCTGGATCGAATGGTAGCTCTATTTTTAGTTCTTTGAAAAGTCTCCATACTGTTTTCCACAGAGGTTGTACTAATTTACATTCCCACCAATAGTGTATGTAATCCTTTTCTCTATACCCTCGGCAAAATTTTTTTTTTCTGAATTTAATAATGGCCATTTTGACTGGCATAACATAATATCTCACTGTGGTTTTAATTTGCAGTTCTCTTATGATTAGCATTTGTTCATATGATTATTGGCCATTTATATGTCATCTTTAAAAAAAAAAGAACACCTTAAAGTTCAGAATGAATTACATTCATGGCTAGGTTTAGAATATGGGTTCCGTTACTGGAAGATGTGTTGAAGTCTTTTAAATAGTGAGAAGCTAATGCCAAAATAGCCTTAAAACTATGTCAGAAGAGGAAAAAAAACAACTTAAGACAGCAAAAAAAAAAAAAAAAAAATTGGGTTTGGATGAGCATTTCAATCTTGAGAAAAACCTAACGTGTTTGCAAAAGAAACTCAAGGATTGGATGACAAGTTTACCACTGGGCAAAAGGATATTTATATCCTTGGATTAAGTGTTAAGTGATAAGAAATCAAATCAAATAACTGAGTAAACAGTTGATGAATATTCCCTACTATACTTGGAGAAGATAAAATGGATGCTGGGACTTAGAATTGGATCAAATCAGAACAAGTACCAATCAATGTTCAGTCAAAGGTGATTGATTTGTTTATGCTTCTTAAAATACTTTTTTTTTTCTTTTTTGTGATGGAGTCTTGCTCTGTCGCCCAGGCTGGAGTGCAGTGGTGCAATCTCAGCTCATTGCAACCTCCATCTCCCGGTTTCAAGTGATTCTCCTACCTCAGCTTCCCGAGTAGCTGGGATTACAAGCATGCACCACCAATTCTGGCTAATTCTTGTATCTTTAGTAGAGACAGTGTTTCACCCTGTTGCCCAGTCTGGTCTCAAACTCCTGACCTCAAGTGACCCTCCCACTTTGGCCTCCCAAAGTGCTGGGATTACAGGTGTGAGCCACCGTGCCTGGCCTCTTACAAGACTCTTCATGGAGAGAGAAATAAAATAGAAATTAGGTTGTATGAATAACATTGAATCTTGAAGCCTTTAAAAATCACACTGAACATATTCGGCATGAATTAAGCATTTTTTAAAATTATACTTTAAGTTCTGGGGTACATGTGCACAATGTGCAGGTTTGTTACATAGGTATACATGTGCCATGTTGATTTGCTGCACCCATCAACTCGTCATTTACATTAGGTATTTCTCCTAATGCTATCCCTCCCCCAGTGCCCCCCACCCCCCGACAGGCCCTGGTGTGTGATGTTCCCCACCCTGTGTCCAAGTGTTCTCATTGTTCAACTCCCACTTATAAATGAGAACATGCAGTGTTTGGTTTTCTGTCCTTGTGATAGTTTGCTGAGAATGATGGTTTCCAGTTTCATCCATGTCCCTGCAAAGGGCATGAACTCATCCTTTTCTATGGCTGCATAGCATTCCACTGTGTATATGTGCCACATTTTCTTTATCCAGTGTATTATTGATGGACATTTGGGTTGGTTCCAAGTCTTTGCTATTGTGAGTGCCACAATAAACATACGTGTTCATGTGTCTTTATAGTATAATGATTTATAATCCTTTGAGTATATACCCAGTAATGGGATCGCTGGGTCAAATGGTATTTCTAGTTCTAGATCCTTGAGGAATCGCCACACTGTCTAAGCATTTGTCTAGTAAGAAAATGTAATTTGAAAGTAAGGTTCAGAACATTTAACCAAATGTTCAAGTAATTTCTAAACTGTATTGAGAAAATGGAATAAAGTTTCATAGATTATTTGTATTAGAAAAAGTTAATTAGAAAGTTTTCAAATGCACATTAAGTGATAGATACACACACACACAAAACAAAAATTCTTAGAGAAAAAAATGAAAAAACTGACCTGTTCTTATCAAAGACATGATTTCCCACATTTAAAAAACCTTGTAATAGTTGATTTACAGTTAAGTTGACTGATGGAAATCTCACTGATTTAAGAAAATCTATATGAAAGTCCAGATACCAGTATTTTTTCCTATAAAAAGCTACGTAGTCAATATTAAGGCTTTGTAAACCAAGACACAAAACTGGAGTATTATGAAAGTACTTATATAACAAAATTAAAAATAAATTCTCACAATTTTTTTTTGTTGCTGAAACAAAAGCACTGAAAATAATAAATACTAGCAAGAATGCAAAGTGAGGGAAACTCTCTTTGATTGCTGGTAGAAATGCAAAGTGGTGCAACCACTTTGACTATTTGGCAATTTTTATAAAGTTTAATATAGTCTTGCCATATGACTTAACAATCACATTCCTAAGTATTTACCCTAGTGAATTAAAACTTAGGTCCGTGTAAAAATCTGCATGCAAATGTTTATATCAGTTTCATTCATAATTACTCCAAACTGTAAGCAACCCATGCCCTTCAACAGGGGAAAGATAATCTTGGGTATTTCCACACAATGATCTATGATTTTGTGGAAGTTGATTGATCAATGAATACTATTGATCAATGGGATGGAATGAGCTACTGATACATGCAACAACATGAATATATGTTAAGGGTATTTTACTAAATGAATGAAGCCAGACTTCAAAGTCTGAATATTGTATGATTTCATTCATAAGACATCTGGGGAAAAAAAACCCACTGGGATGGAAACACATCAGTGGTATCCAGGGCTTAGTGTAAGGGAGATTAGTTTATTACAAAGAAGACACACAGGGGAATTTTTAAATGATGGAGTTGTTTTGTATGGTGCTGCACTAGTAATACACAAGTCCATGATTTATTAATCCCTAAGTAGTGTATCACAAAATTGCACTCAAATGCATGCAAATAAACAAGCAAAAATATCACCAAGATGTGGGAAGATCCTAGAATGGTATGACAGTGGCAAATCAACCTCACTTTATATAAATATGTAAGCTAACAACACTGAAAAGGGTAGAGAAGAAGTAAAAAGTGGCCTAACTTACCTTGAGAAATAATGTTTTGATTAAAAAATGTCAGACTGTAGACAAAAGTAACTTTGCATAAATATGGTATTCTGAATAGTAAATTTGTTTCTCATGCGGGTTCAGCTAATTCTGTAATTGCTTCACATGCATACCAGTTGAACAAAAATATTAAAATATGAACAGTGGCATCCAGGTTTCTCCCTGTTGGTAAGAGAAGTTACAGAGAAGCAAGAAAGGAAGGCCAGAATGACCATTAGGGACTGTGTTAGAGTCAGAGTTATCACTATGACCTCATGTTTAAACACAAGCCCAAATGCACATGGACACACACAGATGGACAAATAAGGAAACAACGACAGATATGTGTGTATTCAGGGCTTACTGTGTAGACACACATTACCTAGCCCTTTCTGCTGAAATAGCCTAGAAACAATGTTACCCTCATAGCAATGTGCACATGTCACACTCAGATAATGTTTTCTAATGCCATTTTCCAGTGAAAAGAAACAGAGATCGTTGGAGAAATGTCTGATTATAAGATATTTCTAAGCCTGGTGAAGAAATATATAAGAGAAGCCTGGAGAAGAACCAGTAATACCAGAAATCAGGGAGGGGCCCTGAAGAGAAAAGGATAACAAAAGGATGAAGACCTGTCCAAGGGACCCAGCAGCTAACTTGAAAGAGCTCTCAATGGGTAAAGCTGGAGCAATTTCAACAACAAAATAAATAACATATCACTGGATTATAACCTGAAGTATAAAACGTATGAGTCCATACTCTTATAAATAAATGATTGAATAAATACATAAATGAGAAGAAGGGAGAAATCTTCCTTACTAGTCTATTAATAGTCCCCACTTTCAGATGTGGAGCTCATGATCTCCTTTGTTAAGTGTAGGCTGGACTCAGTGACTGTCTTCCAAGGAATAGAGTATGGACAGGTAACAATTGTAAGTTTCAGTTTTATTTAGTGAAAACACTACCTTAACCAAGTGATTAAAGTCAGCACCATCAGTGATGCCATGTAGATATTATGTAACCCCTGCTCTGATGGGATAAAAAGGGCACTTTACCTCTGTGGTCTCCTCTGCAAAAATTCAAAGGCCCAGTGTAATTGATGGCAGCTGAAACCCATCTGGACTGTGATGCCGGCTGTAGTAGGGGAGATGCAGGTGTGGCTGTGCGCTCCGTGGAGCCCCTGGAGCCGGGAACAGGCGGAAGCCCCAACCCCTTATGAGTTGACAGGGCAAGAGCCTTGTGCTCCCCAGGCTCAGCTGCAGTTGCCCAGCAGCGGCTGTGGACAGGACATCCCTGTGCGCTTGGGGTTCAGGAGCAGGCAGAAGCCCCACCCTCCCTGGTGCAGCTGCAGCTGCTCAAGCTGTGTCTACAAACCTGGGCATCCCTGTGTTCTTGGGTGCCAGGAGTAAGAGCCCTGCCCTCCTGGGCGCAGCTGCAGATGCCCAAGCTGCAGCGGCAGACCCGGGCATCTCTGCACTCTTGGGGGCCTGGGAAAGCCCTTTTTGCCCCCGCAGGCTTGGAGGTGCCTGCTCCTGGTGTCTGATCTCTCCCTGCTCCTGGTGCGTGCTCTGATCTCGGAGCGTGGTTGAGGCCAGGCCCAGGTGCTATTGCAACCTGGCCTGGTGTGCCCACACTTGGGGCAGCACTGACATGCCAGTCTTCTGCCACCTCAGCCCCCTCTGGGCTTTGGGCACCAGTAAGCAAGGGAGGGAGGCTGGAGGGGGTGCTGCTGAGGGCAGCTTGGCGCTGGCCTGCAGGTGCCTCTTGGCAGGAACAGCCTGGGCACCGTCAACAGTGGCAGGAGGCCCACAGGCTCCTGGGCAGAAAGGGACGGGTCCCCGGTGAGGCCCCACCTTCAACTCAGGGAAGGATTGAAGCCTGGGAGACGGGCTGCCAGCCTCGCAGACTGGAGTGGGGACTTACGATGCTTTTTCCAAGCCTGCCCGTGGCTGCCCAAGGACCAATCAGCAAGCACTTCCTTTCCTCTGAAGTCCATAAAAATTCCCAGACTCAGCCAGACACAAAAAGATGTCAGGACAACCAGCTGCAGAGAGGAATTACCTACCCTAGGGTCTCTTTTCTGCTGAGACCTGAACACTCTGTGGGATGACCTGTCTGAGGAGAGGAGCTACCCACTCCAGGGTCTCCTCTCTGCGGAGAGCTGAACACTCGTTAGGACACCCTGGCTATGGAGAGGAGCGGGTTTCCTCTCAGCTGTTCTATTGTTCAATAAAGCTCCTCTTCACCTTACTCACCCTCCACTTATCCACATACCTCGTGAGTGTGGGACAAGAACTTGGGACCCACTGAATGGCATGGCTGAAAGAGCTGTCACACAAACAGGGCTGAAACATGCCCTTTCCTCACCTCATTGTGGTTGACATAAAGGAGATAAGAGATGCAACTCTTTGGGGAGCCCAGACCTAGGAGCTCCCTGAGCCAGGGCTGTGACACCCTTTTGGGTGGTTCTGTGGTTCCTGGTGCGGAAGCTGCTTGCAGTACACCTGGTCCAGCCGCAGACTTGCAGGGAGATGGCACCCCTGTCAGTGCCTGGAACTGCCTGCCCTGCTGCAGCAAGCATGCCTGGCTGTGTGCAGTAGCTGGACCCCACACTTGCTCCCTCATACACACCTGCCACAGTAAACATACTGCAGTATGTTGGGAGATATTGGATTTTACCAAAAGCTTTTTCAGCATCTATTGAGATGATCATATGGCTTTTCCTTTTAATTCTGTTTATGTGGTGAATCACATTTGTAGATTTGCAGATGTTCAACCAATCTTGCATGCCAGAAATAGAGCCTTCTTGATTGTGGTGTATTAACTTTTTGATGTGCTGCTGGATTTGTTTGATTAGTATTTTCTCAAGGATTTTTCCTTCTATGTTCATCAGGGATATTGGATGGAATTTTTTTCTTTTCTTTCTTTTTTTTTTTTTTTATTAAGCTAACTCACCTAACTTAGTGTGGGTCACATATCTTGGCTTGATAATCCCAAGCTGTGCTTAGAAACCCAGGTAGCACCAGGACATCCTGCAGCTCAGGGTTGGGCTCTGGCTGCACTGTGGGATCTGATATGCTTCTGGGTTGCTGGGAAAGTACTCAGGTGAAGCAAGGCATTCAGCTGGGCTGTGCAAGCTGCACAATGCACCTGCTTCTCCAGGGCAGCTAGGCATAGGACCTGAGAGGAGCCTGCAGGCAGGAGGGCTTGCAGAACAGATGTGTCTTAGTCCCATAGGGAAGCCAGCCCTGCTCTCCTTTGGCTTGACAGTCAGCTGAGTCAAGAGCCTTGCAGAGGGAGATGGGAAGCTCTCAGGGATGTGTGTCTATGGCTACCCTCCACCAAAGCTGCCCAGCACACAAAAGCTCCCAGGCTCTGCACTGTCTGAAGTACTGTCTCTGCCTGTTCCCCAGGGAGATACCCCTGCCAGCTAACACATTTATGGGGGATATGGGGTCTCTCATAGCTAGGATCCCAGAGGTACATGACAAGAGTGAGCTGTCCCTCAGTTCCCTGGCTCACCAATTTCCCAGGAGCCATCTGGGGCTGGGAACTAGCCCTGGCATTCAGGTACCACTTCAGGGTTTCCAGATTTCTGACTCTACAGCCTCAGCTTCAGCTTTGCTTCTCCATACACTCAGTGTTTTCTCTCCTAAGATCACACATTGACTTTGTATCCTGAGACTTTGCTGAATTTGCTTATCAGCTTAAGGAGATTTTGGGCTGAGATGATTAAATCAACCAATTTATGTTGATTAACTCAATAATTTGGTCTCTCTCGGTGAAAGCAGTGCTTCCTGGCTGCAACTAATTGGACATCTTGTCCCTTCCCATCTGTGTAACACATTTTTTATACATGCTTTATTTTGTCATAATTTTAGCTTTACAGAAAAGTTGCAAAGATGGCAAAGAATTCCCATATACACCTCAACCAGTTTCACTTTCACTTAATGTTACATTTCTCTGGTACATTTTTCAAAATTCAGAAACTAACATTGGTATGTTACTACTACCAAAACTCTAGACTATCTTTGGATTTCAGCAAGATTTTCTTTAACATCCTTTTTTTGTTGCAGAATCCCATCCAGGACACTCCATTGCCTTTAGTTGTCATGTGTTTCAGTTTCCTGAATCTCTGTTATCTTGTTTTTCATGATGTTGATAATTCTGAGTACTGCTCAGGTATCTTACAGAATGCACTTCAATCATGGTTTGTCCAATGTTTTCTAATGGTTATGTTACGGGATCCTTGGGTTATCACTTCACCAGCTGAAAACCTCTGTGGCTAGTGGCACTTATGCTGGGGTTTTGCTCAGGCCCACTGGCCCACTCAGCCTGGCAGCCTGTGCTCAGCTTACATTACCAGCCTGGATACTGCACACAGCCAGGCATGCTTGCTGATATTTCTGGTTCTAGATCCTTGTGGGAGTGTAAATTAATTCAACCATTGTGGAATGCCACAGTAAACATACATGTACATGCATGTTTATAGTAGAATGATTTATAATCCTTTGGGTATAAACCCAGTAATGGGATTGCTGGGTCAAATGATATTTCTGGATCTGGTTCTAGATCCTTGTGGAATTGCCACCCTGTCTTCCACAATGGTTGAATTAATTACACTCCCACCAACAATGTAAAAGCATTCCTATTTCTCCACATCCTCTCCAGCATCTGTTGTTTCCTGACTTTTTAATGGTCACCATTCTAACTGGCGTATGATGGAATCTCATTGTGGTTTTGATTTGCGTTTCTCTAATGATGAGTGATGATGAGCTTTTTTCATGTTTGTTGGCTACATAAATGTCTTCTTTTGAGAAGTGTCTGTTCATATCCTTTGCCCACTTTTTGATGGGGTTGTTTTTTTCTTGTAAATTTGTTTAAGTTCTTTGTAGACTCTGGATATTAGCCCTTTGTCAGATGGATGGATTGCAAAAATTTTCTCCCATTCTGTAGGTTGCCTGTTCACTCTGATGATAGTTTCTTTTGCTGTGCAGAAGCTCTTTAGTTTAATTAGATCCCATTTGTCTATTTTGGCTTTTGTTGCTATTGCTTTTGGTGTTTTAGTCATGAAGTCTTTGTCCATGCCTATGTCCTGAATGGTATTGCCTAGGTTTTCTTCTAAATCTTTTATGGTTTTAGGTTTTATGTTTAAGTCTTTAATCCATCTTGAGTTAATTTTTGTATAAAGTGTAAGGAAGTGGTCCAGTTTCTGTTTTCTGCATGTGGCTAGCCAGTTTTCCCAACACCATTTATTAAATAGGGAATCTTTTCCACATTGCTTGTTTTTTTCAGGTTCATGGAAGATCAGATGGTTGTAGATGTGTGGTGTTATTTCTGAGGCCTCTGTTCTGTTCCATTGGTCTATATATTTGTTTTGGTACCAGTACCATGCTGTTTTTAAAACCTGTTTTATAAAAAAGGGAATTATTGTGAGACTTCAATGAGCCAGTGCATACACATCTAGATTTTGGACAGTGCCTGAAACATAGGAAGGATCTAATGAATGTAAGCCAGTTATCATTAATAGTATGATTAGCATTAATCATTAGTAATAATCATTACTCATAATATTGAGTCATTATTTCAGCTTGTCATGTGTATGAAAAAGCAGAGATATAATTTATTATTGGTAATCCCAGTGCTTATTGTAATTTTATAATATTATGATATGAAATGATTAAATGTATATGTCACTTCTTTGTTTCTAGCATAGTGCAGAGAACATAGTTTCCTCATAAGTGAAAGTCAAGTCAATAGTAGGAGATATTTGGTTATCTGAAGGGCATAGCTGATAACAGTAATTGACTCAGCAGCTCTTCCTTCTTATTCTATTATTTTCACAGCCTCTACTCCTCTTCACCTTTTATATGGCACTGGTGCCAGTTCATTTATCAATTCTTTTTTTTTTTTTTTTGCATTATCAGTAAATAAACTTATCCCTTGACAAGAGAATGGTGATTCCACTGTTATCTTAAACCTTTTCTTATTTATGCATCCTGCATATATCAAAAGAAACCTCAAATACCACTGATTCTTTTTCAATTAAAAAATTCCCACTGACTTTTTTATGTGTGGAGATATAATAAGCAAATTTTCATTCAAAAGTTTCAAAGGATAAGAAGGATTTTTGGAATCACTAAAAATACTTGATATTTATTTCAAGGTTCCCTGGAAACAAATTGGACATTCTGATTACTTAACATGATGCAACCCAGAGGTAATGATGTAGGTTAGATGATCTTGAAAGACCCTTCCCAATCATGGTAACATAATTCTCTGTGGTAGACACCACTCGCCTTTATTCTAAGTGTCCTAGAGATATCCATGCCTTTCTTTGTGTTGTGTTTCAAGGAAGTCTGGTGCAAAGACTGATACATGCAATGATGTTTTGAGCTTTCAACTCTTTTGCCATTCTGACTCAACTACCTTTTGCCCACAGATTGAGAATAAAATTATCATGTATCTTGCACTGCCTTAAGAACATATAAGTAAAAATCTTAAGATGAGGTAAAAGTGTGTTACAGATAATGTCTTCAGTCACCGGGATATTTTTGACTGACATGGGCTGTCCTTGCCAGGTTCCTAATGGATTTCCACAATGAGAAGCTGATTTTATAGACATTAGTAACATTTGCACTGTCACAGAGAGAAGGTTGTGGCTTTTAATAAAACCAGCCAGTATTTATTAAAGTCCTACTATTCTCACAATGTTGTGTCCTTTATTTTAACCTTAGGGATTCTGAGTCCCTCAAGTTTAATTGGTCATTGTGTCCCCAGAGGCAATAAGTTAACTCTATTCCCAATTGCACTGGTGGCATAATACTGACACATAGGTAGTTCACAAATTCTAAAACTAGGGTGAAGATTAGAGTTATAAAACATGAACTATGAAAAATAGGTTTGGAATGTATTAATTTGAAGAGCATAAGGCTAAATAAACATACAGCCACAAATTTCTTTATTTTTCATTTTTAAATTTTATAGCTGTATTGAGATATAATTTATTTACAATACAGTTCACCCATTTAAAGTGTACAAGTCAATGATTTTTGGTATATTTCATTACTAATTTATAACATTGTGGTAATATATAACATAAAATTTGCCATTTTAACTATTTTTAAGTGTACAATTTAATGGTGTTAATTATATTCATACTATTGTGTAAATCTTGCCACTATTTTCTAAACTTTTTCGTCATCCCAAACAGAAACTCTAACCCTTAGTGATAACTCTCCATTCCCCTCCCCCATCCCCTAGTAACTTTCAACCTACCTTATGTCTGTATGAATTTGCATGTTCCAGATATTTCATATTATTGGAAACATACAATTTTTGCCCTTTTAGGTCTGGCTTATTCATTTAGCATAAGATGTACATATTGCTTTATAGCCTGCTTTTTCACTTAGCAGCATATTGTGAGAATGTTCATGGTTAGGCAGGGACTAGGCAGTGGAGTTGGGTGGAATTTTGCAAACCATACTTAGGAGTTTGGATTCTGTTTTGTAGGACTTGGTCTCAGGGTCAAATAGGGAGTCTTTTGATGGTGTATATAGGAAAATGGTATTTCTATTGTTTACTGATTTTTTTGTGATGAATATGCTTGGACTAAATCTCCCAAAGATCTGTGGTTAAAATATTATTTATATCATATGATGTCATTTAACATAAATTAACACACTGAAGTTTAAGGTTAGCATTAATTCACTGGAGCAGAACAAGTAGAAATAATGAGATTGCAACTGGAATAGTTTTTGAAAATAAGAAGATTTATGCAATGTATAACTTAATAAGTGCTCACCAAAGATTTTCAGTGAAATAAAGAAAATTATAATTAAATTAAATATCTAGTATCAGCCTGGATATAGCCTGGATATATATTGTTTGTTTGTTTTGTTTTGTTTTGTTTTGTTTTTAAGACAGGATCTCACTCCCATGGCCCAGGCTGGAGTGCAGTGGTGCGATCACAGGTCACTGCAGCCTCGACTTCCCAGGCTGAGGTCATCCTCCCGCCTCAGCTGCCTGAGTAGCTGGTACCACAGGTGCACGCCACCAAGCCCAGCTAATTTTTGTATCTTTTGTAGAGATGGTGTTTTAATACATTGCCCAGGCTGGTCTCCAACTCCTGGGTTCAGGCCATCCACCTGCCTTGGCCTCTCAAAGTGCTGGGATTACAGGTGTGAGCCATGGCACCTGGCCACATGCTCGTATTTTAATGTATTTGTTTCCCCTTACTTTTCTTTTGTGTATCATTTTTTTGTTTTGAGATGGAGTCTTGCTCTTTTCGCACATGCTGGAGTGTAATGGCACGATCTCGGCTCACTGCAACCTCCGCCTCCTGGGTTAAAGCAATTCTCCTGCCTCAGCCTCCTGAGTAGCTGGGATTACAGGCACCCACCACCATGCCTGGCTAATTTTGTATTTTTAGTAGAGACGGGGTTTCTCCATCTTGGTCAGGCTGGTCTCGAACTCCCGACCTCAGATGATCTGCCTGCCTTGGCCTCCCAAAGTGCTGGGACCTCACCTGTAGTGTGAGCCACCTCCCGGCCATATCATGTATTTTTATAAATTGTAAACTGACATATGTAAAACAATCATTTTCTAATTTATAAAATTTTCTTGATATGCAGTTTTTGAAGCTATGTAACATTCTTTTTTAAATTAATAATTCATATATACATTATATATGTACATATATATACTTTCTCATTCTTCTACAATTAAATATATTTTCTGAATTTGTCACCTTATACTATAGATCATTCAGAATAAAGTGCTTTCCATATGTGATCTCTTTTAGACTGTTTATCAGAAATGATGTCAGTGAATTAAAAGTATTAGTATAGGCTGGGTGAGGTGGCTTACACTGTAATCCTAGCACTTTGGGAGGCTGAAGTGGGAGGATTACTTGAATTCAGGAGTTTGAGACCAGCCTGGGTGACATGATGAACTCCTGTTTCTACTAAAAATGCAAAAAAAAAAAATTAGCCAGGCATGGTGGTGCATACCTATAGTGTCAGCTACTCTGAAGACTGAGGTGGGAGGATTGCTTGAGCCTGGGAGGTGGAGGTCACAGTGAGCCAAGATTGTGCCAGTGCACTCCAGCTGGGGCAACAAAGCAAGACCCTGTCTCAAGAAAAAAAATTTTTAGAAGTGTTAGTATATAACAAATACATATTTCGAATTGCTTTTAAAAGGAATAGAATTGTTTGGACTTGAATTATAATAGAAAAGTAATTTTAGACAACTTATAAAAGCATAAATCTCACAAACATCATTGAAGAGATATACATATGTGTGTGTGTATATATATATATATATGCCTCCTCTTTTGATTTTCCTTATATCTTTTCAATTTTAATGTTGAATCCTAAATTATCCTCAGGGTTGTAAAGTTGCTTTTATTTTCCCTATTCCCCTTTAAATCCTAAGGTATACAATAGTGGTACTTCCTGTCATATCTTCATTTGCATTAGCAGTCAGACCCCTGAAATAAATCAGACAGATATTGGGATGACAGTAGCAAATTACCACAGATTGAAATAAGTAGTAGCCCCAATTGAATCTGCTGGAAGAGATATGTTATCCTTGATAGAGTATATTAGCATGTTACTGAGTACCCCGTATGCATACATTGATCTGGTAAATGTTTTCTTTTTCATCCTTATCAGGAAACATGATCAGGGAGTTTGCACTCACTTGGAGCTGACAATACTATACCATGTCCCAGAGCTATGCTAGGTTTTTCATCTTCCATCATAAAATACTGAAGAGAACGGGACTAGCTGTATATTCTGTAGGCCGTCACACTGGCCAACTATATCTAACACATCATGCGTATCAGACAATATGAACAAGAAGTGGTCAATACATTAAAAGCCTTGATAAGACACATGTGATCCAGAGAGTGAGTGTTGCACTCCATAAAGATTCAGGGACCTAAAGCATAAAAGTTTTAAGTGTTTATTGGTCTGGGGCACTATGAGACATTCTATCTAAAGTAAAGGATACATTTTTGCATTATGCATTTCCTATCATAAAAAAGAAGCAAAGTGCCTGGCAGACCTCTCTGTACTTTGTAGTAAGCATATTTGACACTATCGAGTACTGTTCTAATTCATCCACTAGGTGCTGTATTTGAATGGCCTTCAGGGTAAGAATGGGCTCTATAGCAAGTCTAAATTTCACCATAAATGAGGTGGAATTTATGGCAAGTTTATGGGAAGATCATAACAAAATTCTTAGGGTTTTGATAAAACTCTGCTATCTACAGCACAGGATTGTATACATTTCAAAAATAAAGCCCTGGTGTTTTACTGAATTCTGGGTAGAGAAATAACATCTGACCATGGAACAACAAATAACCATGCAGGCAAAACTACCCATATGAGCTGGGGACTGTCTGAACCATCAAGTTATTAGGTTGAGTGGATACAGAGCAATCACTGTAACACGGCATTAGTACATCCAGGATTGACCACAGCATGACTAGAGGGCAGAGGCAAACAGTATGAGCAAGTAGCCCAGGACTTCATGCTATTCACCACTTTTGCATCAATATCTCTTCTTCAGACCACACTTACGCCTCCAAGAGAGAACACTTCCAACTCTAATGGAGGAGAAAAATGTCAAGCTTGGTTCATTAATGGGTCAGCTTGGTATGTGAGTCCAAGTCAAAAAGGATGAAGATAAATTATAGCCTCGCTTACGGTGATCTTGAAAAATAGTAGTGAGGAAAACGCCTCCCAATGGACAGAGTTTCAGATGGTACCCAGTCATTCACTTTGTGTGGAAAGAGAAGTAGTTTGAAGTTAGAATATGTATAACTCATAGGTAGTGATAAATGGCTTAGGAGGCTTTTCAGGTGGCTGGAAAGAAAAAGATAGAAACACTTGGAAAAAAGAAGTCTGGAACAGAGGCACATGCATAAACATATAAGAGTGAAGGTATGAAGTGTTGCATTATTTGTATTACATGCTAAAACTACAAGATGGAATCCATCATAGAAAATGAATTAAGCAACTAGGTAGAAAACGTGACTTGGTGAGCAGTTATTGTCAAGAGCTTCTGACATTTGCCCTCATTATCCTACCTGCAATGCTAGAGCAATGAGCTTATGAATGAAGCCACCATGATAGTAGGGATAGAAGCAATGCATGGGTTTAACAGCATGCATTATAGCCACTGGTCAAACATCCAGTCTTCCATCAATAAGTGTCCCATGCAATGACTGGATAAAATAGTTTCCCATCAAAAGATCAACCAGTTATTTAATGTCAAGTTGATGACACTGGACTTTTTCTACTTTGAATGTAGCAATTTTTTTTGGTAGGAATAGATACACATACTCCAGGCATGGGTTTCTATTCCTGAACATAAGTTCTCAGCCAGCATGACTGTCTAAAGGCTTATAGGATGTTTGACGCAGCAGCAGGAGATCCCACATACCATTGTATCAGAAAAAAGGGCCGACTTAATGGCAAAGAAAGTGTAGGAGTGGACTTATGACCATGGAATCCATTGGCCATATCACATATTGCACTATCATAAGTGATCTATTAGAGTCATGGAGGGATCTGTTGAAGCTACACCTGAAATTCCAGCTCAGATGAAATGTCATCCTTCAAGACCCAGTACTTTAAATCAATTATCTTTCTATGGTGCTGTGTCCTCACTAGGAAGAATGCATGGTTTAGAAACCAAAAGGTGAAAGCCCTTCTTAGAATCCCTACCAGTAACTCATTTGAGAAATTTGTGTTTTTTTTCTCCACAATTATAAGCTCTGTGAGTTTAGAGGTTCTAGCTCTCTAAAGGGAAATATTCCCACTAGGGGGTACAAAAGGTACACTAGGAAGTGTATACTTTGTTTAATTATGATGGTAAATGACCAAAGGCAATGAGATTAACTAAAAAAAGCCATAGTGATCAGGGGCTCAGACACTTCCGGATCATGACACCAGGTAAACCACTGAGAGCAGGAGAGGTGCCAGATAAGGGTGAGAGCAACACAGAATGAATAGTAAGAAGGAGATGGTGACCATAGTTTGTAGGACTTAAGACCAGCCGCAGTGGTGGTCCTCTTCTAAGTTTCCTCCAGATACAGAGGCCCACTATAGCCCTGTAAGAGCTTTTCCCAGATCTTTTTTAATCAATTAATTAATTAATTTTTTTATACTTTAAGTTCTAGGGTACATGTGCACAACGTGCAGGTTTGTTACATGTGTATACATGTGCCATGTTGGTGTGCTGCACCCATTAACTCGTCATTTACATTAGGTATATCTCCTAATGCTATCCCTGCCCCCTCCCCCACCCCACACCAGATCTTATACAAAGGAGTAGATCTGAAATTAAAGGAATAGACAGTGTTGGAAGTTATAATGCTTTACTCAGATAACACTTTCAGAATGAAGGCATTATTACTTCAGCTGCTAGATGTGCTACAGGTAGATAGAGCTCAGCTGAGATCCTTCTTTCTGGGTTGCCTCAGCTAAACAGAGTTGCTTCATCTAAACATATGGCCCTTTTCCATGTAATCTGCATTCAACACTGACCAACAAGGAGATTTAAGGCTTGCCGTTGGCCTCAGCTCAGAACATCAATGAATTGTCATCTCATATTGAGAACTTCCTACAGGGTTCAGTGAAACTTTAGTAGTTTGCATTACAAACTTCCAAAGTAGGTAGTTTGCATTACTTCCTTTCCTCAATCATGCTACCCACCCTTTCCTTTGAAAGATGTTGATCCAAAAAATGTTCCCTAGTAAACTTTCTAAATGCTGATCTCCATCCCTGAGTCGGCTTCCTGGGAAACTCCATTCTCATCTCTCTCTCTATATATATATCTATATATAAAATATATACATTATATATGTAATATATAAAATACATGTATAATATATAATACATATGTATTATATGTATACAGGGAACAAGAAGAGTGAAACATTTAAGAAAGAAAGTTAATTTAGGGATGCATTAGCCAGGTTGTGTGTAATGAGAGCTCAGTTCTCTAAAGGCCTTCTGAAAAGCACACAGGATGTTTTTGCCTGAAGGGAGAGCTGCTGGACCATTTATTCCTAGTTAAAATTCTTCATTGTTGGAGGATTTCCCCTAGGGTCATTAAGCATTTTGTACTTCTAGGCAGCACTTGTCTATATGCCAAATGGGCTCCCATGGTGTCAGACAAGCCTTGGGGCCAAGGGAAGCCCTATACAGCATACTTGAGGTAGGTCACTGTCAGTATGTGTGAGATAATCTGAGTTCACACACAACTGTCCCTTGCAGCTCTGCTGAAATTAGAGCTGGGCTGAAGAGATGTGATACACTGGTACTAGAGGCATCTACTTTAGAAGGTGAGATAGAAATGCTGTATTTTACATTTACAACCATAGGAATGGAGGTGTGCTGGCTTTTACCATGAACTCCCCCAGATAGTGTTCTGAAAAGCAGAGGAGGCCAACTAAAATAAAATCACAGGGAAAACTATATTTGCAGGAAGAAGATAATCTCAAGAGAAGCAGAGATTAAGAGTATTCTTGAATTTTGCATAGTAAAAACCATCTAGTCTAAGACTGTCTCCCCTAACCAAGGACCTTTTACAAATAGTTGATCCAGGGGGAAAAAAAAAAGCATCTACTTCAATGATTAGTAATTTAAAAGGAACTGGAAGAGATAAGACATATGGATGCATACATATATAAAAATAGCTAGATAGAGACCTGCAGGTGATAATATACAAGAAAGAAAATGGGGAAAGGAAAAGCAATCTGAATAGACAAAAAACGAAACCAGTAGTTAGTGGTTATGAAGTGGATGAAAATCGAAGGGTGGGATAAGAGGCAGGTTGATTCTGAACATGGAAAAATCTACAAGACTGAGATTCTTTAAAACATCAAACTACTCTTCTACTTTAATATAATATCAAACTCAAATTCACAACCAAAGTGGTAACATTTCATCACTAATTTGAAAAATTCTAAATAAAATAAAGGAAAAATAACACACACACAAAACAGAGAATATATAGATTTTCTAGAATGCACAGCATAGTAAAGACAAACATGAGTAAAATTATGGTGAAATTTAAGCCATGAGGGTCAGTGCATCTTAATGCCCTGGGACATTGTACTTGAGGGTTTACCAGTAGATTAATACCCTTTAAGCATGAGAATTACTGATTGAGAGAACTTCAAATGAATTTGCTTCTAGTGTGTTGATAAAGTTAAATGTGATTTATCATAGGTGGGTAAGAATATGGTTGGTAGATAGGAGACAACAGGGCTAGGATATTCAGAAAATAACCTCCAGCAAGCTTTGTAAAAGCAAAAGCATATATTGATGTAAAAACTTTACATATGTAATTGCATGATATACCATCATGTTGCTCAAACTGCATTAAAGTGTGATTGAGAATTCACCACAATGTATGTTGATGTAATAGTAAATATCAGATTATGTCATAATTTTTCTTAGAATTATGGCTTGAGTGATCTATTTGACACAGTTATTATTGTTAATGATTTTAAATATTTTCATCTAATTTCAAGCTTTTGGTTTTCTTTAATGTACTTTATCATTCTTCATCAAAGAAGGTCATGTAGAAATATAATGTTTCTTTTTTCTAGATGTTATTTTTACTCATGCTCTGCAAAACTTTGGTAATAAATTTTGGTTTCTGGAACAATCCATTGAACAGTTTCATCATCATGATAATTATTGCTAACTTACATTGAACAGTTACTTTGTGCCAAGAACACTTTTTAGTATTTCCCACATTTGCACATTTAATCTCTCCAACAAGCATATGTAGGTTTTTAATTTTGCTCATTTTCCAAATACAAAATCTAAGGAAAGAACTAAAGTAAGAACAAAAATGTTAACTACTTTTCCTAACATCACACAGCATGAAGGTGGCTGAGGGAGAATTCAAGCTCATCAATAACAGACAGAGTGAAAAGGAGGAATGGAGAAGAGGAGAATGAGAGAGAAAAAAGAGAAGATAAAGGGAGAAGATCCAGGGAGAGAAGAGGGGAAGCAAAAAAGAGAGAAACATGGGAGACAGAGAGTGAAATAAATCAAGATACAAGGTCACAGAGAAATAAGAGAACAAAAGAAATAGAGAAAGTTATAAAGCTAATAGGCAGTGATTAGAACTATGTAATAAATGTGGTAAATGTATACTCTTTGAGAGCACAGATGAAACACATCTAATATTTAGCAAAGTGATTTTCACTAGCAGGTGCTTACATGTATTTTATATAATATTTATAATGAACAATTTTAATCAGAGACAAAATATGAGGAAGATGTAAAAGAGGAAGAGAGAGAGTGAATGATGAATATCAAAGATTAAAGCACTTCACTAAATCTTGTATTTTTTCCCAAAATACAGCTGGTGAAAATCTTATCCTTGAGTAGAAAGGAATCAAACAAGTCATATACCACCCGTCTTCCTGTCTGTACTGGAACCATCACAGGCTTTTGAGGAACTACTTTTGAACCGTTCCCCAGAGAGGCATTTGCCCCAGTAGCTATGATTATAATTTGCAATGACAGCCACAGTGATTTCATCCTTCTGGGCTTCTCTAACAAGCCACATTTGGAGAAGATACTTTTTGGATCATTTTTATTTTTTATTTTTTGACTCTTGCAGGAAATATGGTCATAGTTCTTGTGTCCTTGAAGGATCCAAAACTCCACATCCCTATGTATTTCTTTCTTTCCAACCTTTCCTTGGTAGACCTCTGTTTGACCAGCAGCTGTGTTCCACAGATGTTGATTAACTTCTGGGGCCCAGAAAAGACCATCAGCTACATTGGCTGTGCCATTCAACTCTATGTTTTTTTGTGGCTTGGGGCCACGGAATATGTCCTTCTTGTTGTCATGGCTGTGGATTGTTATGTAGCAGTGTGTCATCCACTGCAAAATACCATGATCATGCACCCAAAACTTTGTCTGCAGCTGGCTATCTTGGCATGGGGGACTGGCTTGGCCCAGTCTCTGATCCAGTCCCCTGCCACCCTCCGGTTACCCTTCTGCTCCCAGCGGATGGTGGATGATGTTGTTTGTGAAGTCCCAGCTCTGATTCAGCTCTCCAGTACTGATACTACCTACAGTGAAATTCAGATGTCTATCGCCAGTGTTGTCCTCCTGGTGATGCCCTTGATCATTATCCTTTCCTCTTCTGGTGCTATTGCTAAGGCTGTGCTGAGAATTAAGTCAACTGCAGGACAGAAGAAAGCATTTGGCACCTGCATCTCTCACCTTCTTGTGGTTTCTCTCTTTTATGGCACTGTCACAGGTGTCTACCTTCAACCAAAAAATCACTATCCTCATGAATGGGGCAAATTTCTCACTCTTTTCTACACTGTAGTAACCCCAACTCTTAATCCCCTCATCTACACTCTAAGGAACAAGGAGGTAAAGGGAGCACTAATAAGATTGGGGAGGAGGACCTGGGATTCCCAGAATAACTAACAAGGTTAACATATGTTTACCTTTGCTTAACCTAAGAATAGAGAACAACCTCATCACAAAAAGCTGGAGATACACCTCCTAAGCCAAAAGTAGGAGAGAAAGAGCTGCATTCTGTTCAGGTTGAGATTTCAGTTTCCTTCATCAATCAATTGGGCCCTTAAATTCTTCATATTGTGGATTTAGACACAGTATGGTATAAAAATTAATATATTTAATAGCTATTGTCTTGAAAAGGACACAATGCAATTGAATGGGGGAGGAGGAGAAGACACAAGAAACACATTACTTGCAAAATAAAATACTAAGTAGTACGTTTCATGCCTTTCTATTTCGTTCTTTTTTTGTTCTATTTTCCTACAAGCTCCACCAGTGCTTTCAGTCCCAACAAGATTTCTAAAGTTTTGAGACAGAAACTTCTTGATCAACTTATATGTACCCCTATACTGTAA
Source organism: Homo sapiens (assembly GCF_000001405.40). NCBI lineage: Eukaryota > Metazoa > Chordata > Mammalia > Primates > Hominidae > Homo > Homo sapiens. Next base: position 526,039 of record NT_167249.2, read on the forward strand.
TATGGCAGGTCTTGGTTTTAATTGCTTCTGTCTCTCTGTCTCAGCATGACCACTGTTGACCTGTAATGTGACTTTCACTATCCAATGCAAAGTGTTTGCCATGCCAAAGTCCACATTTACTGCTCTCTGGTGCTGATACTATGATGAGTGTGTGTGCAAGTTTCTCAGTTTGAGCCTTGATATTCTGGGCCCCCAGTTATAGGAATAGACTTCTGTGTTTTTCTTCATTCTGAGGCCTTATTGTAACAAAATGGCTATCTTTTTATCAGACCCAATTATTCTTTCACTTTATAGATATTTATGGCTTTCCTATTATATACCTATTATGTTTCAGATGGTAGTTATGTAATAGTAGATAAAACATATAAAATAATCAACATCGTGGAACTTATAACAATATCATCTCTTGCTCTTAGACTCTTTCACAGTATTGATATAATATTAGATTTGCCTCATTACAAAACCCATTTGTTTATTGCTTTACTCTTAGCTATTATTTGTCTTCTCCATTTACAACCAAACTTTTTCAATTTTGGAAGGAATATTAGGTTCAGCCACTGTGTTGCTTCAGATTGCAGCTAACAACACTGGTCTAGCAAGTGCTTCCCCCTCAGTTCACTCCTGTTCAGAGACAGTGACAATGTGATAGAAAATAAAAACCCATTTTCTGAGGAGAAATTCAAGCAGGCTGCAGAAATTTGCATAAGTAAGAAGGAGCCAAATGTTAATCACCAAGACAATGGGGAAAATGTCTCCAGGGCATGTCAGAGGTCTTCACAGCAGCCCCTCCCATCACAGGCCCAGAGGCCTAGGAGGGAGAAACAGTTTCCTGGGCCAAGCCCAGAGCCCCCCTGCTCTATGCAGCCTTGGGACATGGTGCCTGGTGTCTTATCTGCTTCAGCTCCATCCTTGGCTAAAAGAGGCCAAGGTACAGACCGCTTCAGAGAGTGCAAGCCCCAAGCATTGGCAGCTTCCACATGGTGTTGGTCCTGTGGGTGTGCAGAAGACAAGAACTGAGCTTTGAGAACCTCCGCCTAGATTTCAGAGGATGTATTGATGTGCCTGGATGTCCAGGAAGAAGTTTGCTGGGTTGGCAAGAGCCCTCATGGAGAATCTCTGCTAGGGCAGTGCAGAAGAAAAATGTGGTGTTGGAGCCCTTACACAGAGTACCCACTGGGGCACTGCCTGGTGGAGCTGTGAGAAGAGGGTCACCATCCTCCAGACTCCAGAATGATAGACCCACTGACAGCTTGCACTGTGTGCCTGGAAAAGCTGGAGACACTCAATGCCAGCCTGTGAAAGCAGCCAGGAGGGGAGCAAAGCCACAAGGATGGAGTTGCCCAAGGCCATGGGAGCCCACCTCTTGCATCAGCTTGACCTAGATTTGAGACATGGAGTCAAAAGAGATCATTTATGAGCTTTAAGAATTGACTGCCCTGCTGGATTTCGGACATGCATGGGTCCTGCAACACCTTTGTTTTGGCCAATTTCTCCCATCTGGAATGGGTGTATTTACCCAATGCTGTACTCCCATTGTATCTAGGAAGTAACTAACTTGCTTTTGATTTTACAGGCTTATAACCAGAAGGGACTTGCCTTGTCTCAGATGAGACTTTGGACTTGGACTTTGAGTTAATGCTGGAATTAGTTAAGGCTTTGAGGGACTTGTTGGAAGGGCATAATTGTGTTTTGAAATGTGAGGACATGAGACTTGGGAGGGGCCAGGCACAGAATGATAGGGTTTGGCCTTGTCTCCACCTAAATCTAATCTTGAATTGTAGTTCCCATAATCCCCATGTGTCTTGGTAGGGACCTAGTGAGAGGTTGAATCATAGGAGTGGTTACTCCCCATGCTGCTGTTCTCATGATAGTGAGTGAGTTCTCACAAGATCTGATGATTTTATAAAGAGTTTTTCCCCTTTTGCCCTTTTTCTCTCTTCTGCTGCCATCTGAAGAAGGATATGTTTGCTTCCCTTTCTGCCATAATTGTAAGTTTCCTGAAGCCTCCCCAGCCTTGCGGAACTGTGAGTCAATTAAACTTCTTTCCTTTATAAATTACCCAGTCTCAGGTACGTCTTTATTAGCAGCATGAGAATGGACTAATATACCTTCTCTCATGTTAACTGCCCTCTTGGATCAGACGTTGTAGAGATAATTTATCTTGTTCCCAACATAATTTTTCTCTTGAGGGGTGGTTTTGAGGTTAGTGGTCTGAGTTCACACTCATCAAAATCTGAGCTTATTCTAGCATTAAGGTCTGCTTTGGCATTCTCTTTTAATTTCATTTTAGCTATTACAGATTACAATAAGCAATGGATTATATATTTTTCTTTTAAAAATTAGTTTGCATTTCTTTATGGATCTTGTGAACCAGCTCTCTGGGGGTTGGATTTGTATCTAAATTATAGAAAATTTGAATGATCCTGGGAAGACAGGAGGCTTTTCTCTCCAGCAATTTGCAGAGTTGGGTCTGTAGTTAAGATCAAGAGCAGTTGACAGAATTGGTAGCAGCACAAGAGATCATGAGCCACCTAAGGTGACCTAACTGAGTTGTTTCTGGAGATCTAATTTTTTTTTTTTTAGATGGAATCTCACTCTGTCGGTCAGGCTGGAGTGCAGTGGTGCCATCTCAGCTCACTGTAACCTCTGCTGCCTGGGTTCAAGCAATTCTCCTGCCTCAGCCTCCTGAGTAGCTGGGATTAGAGGTGCCTGCCACTGCACCTGGCTAATTTTTGTAGTTTTAGTAGAGACGGGATTTCACCATCTTGGCCAGGCTGGTCTTGAACTCCTGACCTCATGATCTACCCTCCTCAGCCTCCCAAAGTGCTGGGATTACAGGCATGAGCCACCACGCCCAGCCTCTAATTTCTTTTTTTAAAATTTAATTTAATATTAAGTTCCGGGATGCATTTGCAGGACGTGCAGGTTTGTTACATAGGTAAATGTATGTCATGGTGGTTTGCTGCACCTATTAACCCACCACGTAGGTATTAAGCCCCACATGCATTAGCTATTTATCCTGATGCTCTTCCCACCTATCCCCGACAGGTCCCAGTGTGTGTGGTTCCCCTCCCTGTGTCCATGTGTTTTCATTGTTCAGCTCCCACTTATAAGTGAGAACATGCAGTGTTTGGTCTTCTGTTCGTGTGTTAGTTTGCTGAGAATGATGGCTTCCAGCTCCATCCATGTCTCTGCAAAGGATGTGATCTTGTTCCTTTTCATGGCTGTGTAGTACTCAGTGGTGTATATGTACCACATTTTCTTTATCCAGTCTATCATTGATAGGCATTGGGGTTGATTCCATGCCTTTGCTATTGTGAATAGTGCTGCAAAGTACATATGTGTGCATGTATCTTTATAATAAAATGATTTATATTCCTTTGGGTATAAACCCAGTAATGGGATTGCTGGGTCAAATGGTATTTCTGGTTCTAGGTCTTTGAGGAATTGCCACACTGTCTTACACAATGGTTGAACTCAGGCATCCTATAAAATGGGAGAAAATTTTTGCAATCTATCCATCTGACAAAGGTCTAATATCCAGAATCTATAAGGAGCATCACTGATTATTAGAGAAATGCAAATCAAAACCAGAATGAGATAACATCTCACACCAGTCAGAATGGCCATTATTAAAAAGTCAAGAAATAATAGATGCTAGCAAGGCTTTGGAGAAATAGGAAACAGCTTTTACACTCTTGGTGAGATCTGATTTCTTAATTAACTTAGATACTAATTTATTAATAGACAGGAAACTAATTTCTAATTTCTTAACAGATACATACTGGCTTCTCAGCCAGGCTACTGACCTTTACCCCTTACATACACACCTTAACTTCTGTATGAACATGGATGTGACTGCATTGGGTAAGAGAGGGGAGAGGTGGTGGGCAGCAGAAGGGTGGCCTCTTTGAGGAAGATGTGGGTAAGGATAGCAGGATTCTACTTAGGGGTAGACAGAGCAGTGAACTTTCTGTGGATCAGAGACCTGGGTTTTGATTCTATGCTTGTACTGTCAGAGTATGCATATTCCATGTAGATTGTAGCCTGTGGCAGAGAGAAGAAAGTAGTCATCCTTCAATGCCTTCTCATCAGCTTCAAGATAATATGCCATTCATTCAAAATATTTTTATTGATCTCTTAGTGTATGCAAGAAAATATGTGGAAGGCAGTGGTGACTTAGAGACTCTAAGAAACTGGTTTGACTATAGGGTGGCAATCGGGGGAACAGTATTATTAACAGCCTAGAGAGGTTGGTGTGGTCTTGTGGGTTGTATTTGGACTTTAACAGTAACAGAGGAGCACTGCAGCTATTTAAGCAGGAGAGACTCTCTTGTCTTTCTCTGAGATTCTCTCCCTATGTCTCTAAATCTGTTTCTCTGCAGAGAAACAGATTTTATCCATATGCTCTTTATCCATACAGCCTTTATCTATAAGCTCTTCATCTGTTTCTCTTTGTTTCTCTGCTTCTCTGTCTCTTTTTGTCTCTCTACTGCTTTGTTTCTCTCCATTACTGTTATTGTAGCAGTATCTATATATCTCTCTGGGTCTCTTTCCAGCACTAGACCTCCCTGTGCCTTTAAGGAAATAAAGGAGCATAGGGCATTGGACCTGAAGCAGTATCTTTTGTTTCTTACCCTCTACTAGATCTTGCTGTCTGCCCTTGTCTCTGCGTATTAGTGAGCGTCCTCTCCTGACTCAACAAAGAAAGTAAGAGAATGAAGTGTATAGAACTGAAAATGCCTTGACGTATTCTTTTTCTCAAATGTGTCCAGATTTTTCCAAAAAGATTGAGCTTTAGAATTTATGTGATATCTAACCAAAGTGAACAAGTTCTGTGTCCCCAAAAACTCAGGATCCACCTCTATGACAAGGAGGAGCTCAGATAATCCATAATATTCCAATTCTTACCACTATTAAAACAGTTCTATTTAGCATCCAATACTAGGTTCATAATTCTGAACATCAGAATCTCAGAAGGTTTTCTGCATTCATAAATATTTTACTGTTTTTAAGAGGGTTCAATGTATTGGTTTTTGATACTTCAAAAATGATCGTGTACATGTGGTAGATGTATCAGGGTCCTTTGGTTGTAAAAAACAGAAAATACCTCTGGCCATCTTAAGAAAAATAAATTTTGGTTCAACCATTGTGGAAGTCAGTGTGGCGATTCCTCAGGGATCTAGAACTAGAAATACCATTTGACCCAGCCATCCCATTACTGGGTATATACCCAAAGGATTACAAAACATGCTGCTATAAAGACACATGCACACGTATGTTTATTGTGGCACTATTAACAATAGCAAAGACTTGGAACCAACCCAAATGTCCAACAATGATAGACTGGATTAAGAAAATGTGGCACATATACACCATGGGATACTATGCAGCCATAAAAAATGATGAGTTCATGTCCTTTGTAGGGACATGGATGAAACTGGAAACCATCATTCTCAGCAAACTATCGCAAGGACAAAAAACCAAACACTGCATGTTCTCACTCATAGGTGAGAATTGAACAATGAGAATACATGGACACAGGAAGGGGAAGATCACACACCGGGGACTGTTGTGAGGTGGGGGGAGAAGGGAGGGATAGCATTAGTAGATATACCTAATGCTAAATGACAGTTAATGGGTGCAGCACACCAGCATGGCACATGTATACATATGTAACAAACCTGCACATTGTGCACATGTACCCTAAAACTAAAAGTATAATAATAATTTAAAAAAAAGAAAAATCAATTGGAGAAGATAAAATTTTATAATTAAAAAAAGAAAAATAAATTTTGGAAAGATACAGTGAGTACCCCACCAAATGAAAGAACCAGTAGGACCATCAGGTTACTGGAGTAAAATGAATCAGGGTAGGCCTGGGGAATTCAGATTGGAAGTAACAGGTAACCCCATTTGGACAATACCATCTGTTGAAGATTCAAAGCACTAAGAAAAACTGACTTGTTGAAATTGGATCACTTGTTCACCCTTGTGATCAGTTTCATGGTCAAGAACTCACTGGAACTGTATGGAATAGGAATAGCCGTTCTCATGAATGTTCACAAATAGAGAAGAACAAGGGATGGCAACTTCTGTTATAGCAACTCATTATTAACTGCCTGTTTGATTATGGTATTCTATTCCTCTCTCTGCCAGGGAATAGAAAGTTTTTGCGTTTTGCTTGAGAATTGGGAAACATGAAGAACAGTGACTGAGTAAGGGGCTGGGTGTTATTTATAGCATGATTATAAATCTTTTATATTTGAAGGATTTTCAAGTTCCCCTTTGATTCCTTGAGTTGTTACATTTGAAATTCAAGGTGGTAAGTTGATTATGAGACCCTTCATTCTCCTTCTTCTACACTTGAGATCTGACCAAACACAAAAAGGGATAGGTTGCCAAAAGGAGGGCTTTGTTTAACTTTTTTGGAGTATTAGAACCTTATGGGTCTAAAAAAATATTTACATTAAGAAAATATTGACCATGAAGGAGAGCATGTAAACTCTGTAAAACAATGAAAACAAACAAGACAGAAGTTTCCAGTTTCCCCATTGCTTTCTACCTTTGTCCTCTTTTCTTATTCTTTCCTATTCTTTTATTCTTTTTTCCTTCTTTCTTTCTTTCTTTCCTCCCTTCCTCTCTCTTTTCCTTTCTTTCTTCCTCTCTCTCTCCCCACCCCATGAACCTTGACTAACTAACAAACCTCAAGGCTTGCAAAAATCATTCTCAAAAAATACTTTTCTGATGATTATTGACATGAAAGGGGCATGAAAGCAGGTATAAGCCCCCAACTGAGATTTTAAAATAGAAAGCTGTTGCCTTAGCCAAAACAAGGTAACGAGGATGTGTACTCCACTTCCTCTATCCTGTAAAAACTCTGATCTGACTTCAGTAAGGAGATCTCAATGCTCATCACCTGAATAAAGTCTTTAGCCTTTGAGTCACATCATTTTCATTTGACAGTCTTTGTCAGTGATTCCCGAATAGCACATGTGTAAAAATACATCTATCCTCCCAGATTTTGGGATTGATGGATGTGGCCTTGGATGAACAAAGTCCCAGTGGCCAATCTTCCCTGGTGAAAGTCAGCCTTGTACATCTAACTTAAAGTGTGCTATGAAATGAAAATGTTTTGGAAGCACTGCCTGTTCTCCCCTATCGCCACGCACACTGCTGGTCTCTCTTGGTTGCCAGGCACTGGTTTAGGTTCTGAGCAGAATACTCCACAGTGTTCTCTACAGTGTGTTGTAGAATAGGAGGGTCCTGGCAACCTGAGGCAGAGCTGGTGTTACAGAGTACCTGCCTACTGCTATAAAGTTTTACTTTATACGAATTCTGGAGAAGCTGAGTGAGGCCATGTCTGTTACCAGGAGACATGAGACTCACAGCAGATCTCTCTGGCTTAACATGGGAGATGGCGGTAAGTGCAGCTATATCTGAATTTTTTTAATAGTTAAAAGCTGACTTTATCCAAATAGGGATTAATGTATTTTCCATAAGAAGTTCTGTTCTAGGTAGAAAAAAAGTGAAGATTTTGGTTAGGTTAAACTGATTTTTAAAGTATAGGAAGAGTTACAGATTTTTTTCTTATTGAGTCTAGTCTTGAGAACAATTTATCAAGAACTCCAAATTTAAAGGCAATTAGTTAATTAAAAACTTGAAAGATCTAACTCTTTGAGTTTAAACTGGACTCATTAGAAAACAAATGGAAGAAAAAGGTATCTAAATGTTCATAATGACTTGTGTCTGACATTAAAACAAGGATTCAGTCACTAGAAGATATGTCAAAGTCCATCAGTACCAAATGGATAAAGCCAAAATAACTTTAAAACTATATCACATGAATGAAGACTTGCCATAGCAATAAAGTAGAGTTTGGATGAAGACGTCCATCTTCGGGAAAACCCAAAATAGCTTTTACAAAAAACTGAAGGATGAAATAAAAGATTAAGCCAACAGAAATAAACATATTGAAAATATCTCAATAAACAGAAATAACTTAGAGTGAGTCAGAACTGAGAACACCTAGAACAAGTTCCAAAGAACAAGAAAAGTCAGAGCAAATCTCTGACACTTGGAGAAGATAAAACAGATGCAGGTATGTTAGAGTGGATGTAATAAACAAATCAGAACATGTATATTACTTAGATAGCTCTCAATAATCTGATTTATGCTTTTGTAAAACCTTTGGAGAGGACACAAACAAAATATAGTCTGAATTATCTGAAAAGAATAAAAGGAACACTTAAAATCATATTAAGCATATAAAATAAATCAAGAATCTTTGGACCAGAAAATGCACAGTATGAAAATTAGCTTCAAAATCTCCAGGACAGAGATTAAGTAATTACTGATATATATCAAGAAAATGAAATAAAACTTCAGATCATTTACATATTTATACATCTTAAAGTAGAAGAAGATAACCTTCCTCATTGATTCTACCTTCAAATAGACCTGCTTATTATTATTATTTTTTAATGTTTTTGTAGAGATGGAGTCTTGCTATTTTGCCCAGGCTAGTCTTGAACTCCTGGGCTCAAGCGATCTTCCTGCCTCTGCCTCCCAAGTGCTGGGATTACAGATATGAGCCACCGCAACTGGCCCTGAACCTACTTTTAACATCCAGGAAAAATAGCCATATCATTGTTGTCCTAAAGTAATTAAAAATTCTCTCTATTCTAGTTTCGTTGCTGTTAAATTGTTATACAGGAGTTCAAATTGAAGCTTAATAGAATTAAAACTCTTAGGATGGTGTTTTCTAAATATATATTACTTAAATGTTGGGGAAGAGAAATAATTTTAATTTCTAGATAGTACATGTACAATATTCTGTTTTTTAAATAAGTTATACTGGGAGATTTATAAAGGCAGTTGAACAATCAAAGACATTTGGAACTAAATTTCTGTATATCAAGTGCTGTATTTACTATAGTTAAAACACAAGTATGAAAACAATGGAATGTTTATATACAAATGACTTTTATAAATGACTATTTCAATTGATTTAAGAAGTCATTTGATGAAAATGATAAAATAGTTAGAGATATAGTGGGAAAAAAAGAGACCCACGGGGAAACACCATGATAGACTGAGCCAAATGTAGAGCTCAGCTCTTCCTCCCCCAGGATCATAACATATCACCAGATAAACCTTTGAAAAAAAACGAAATGCAACAAAACAAAAAGAAAATCCAGAAAAGAAAATCGTTAGTTTTCTATATTTCATAATTTCTGTACTTTCCCTCTTCCCAGGTGTCTGTTCACACCTTCTCTGCTCTATCCAAGCGCACATCCTTTCCTTTTCTTCACTCCCAACTGATGCCTCTGCTTTTCAAAACTTCAGAGAAAATTGGAGAAATCAGAAAGGAATTTCTGTCAGATTTCAATACTACCTCAACACACCCACCTGCTTCTATATCCATGTATTCTACTTTCTGTCTGGTTCCTATTGATGAACTGTTTGTGCTCTAGCAAAGGCTGATCAATCCTCTGCTGCCCTGGATCCATCCCCTCACCGACCTAAAGACTTTGTTTCTGAGTTCACCCTCACTCTCCTGCTGTGTAATTTTGCATACTCTATAGGTCATTACCATAGAATACAAGCATGCTGCCATTACATCCATCTTACAGAAAAAAACTCTTTCTGCCTTCTCTTGACCTCCCTTTCCCTACAGCTATTGAATCATTTCTTCCTGCCTTCAGCAAAGCACTATTCATGAGTTTTCTATGCTTTCTGTCTCTAAGTTGTCTCCCACTGTTCTCTCTTGCTTCCATTCCAGTGTGGCTGTTGCCTTCTTTTTCTCTAGCAAAACTCCTCCCTTAGTGTCACAGATGACTTCCTTATTGCTAAATCCAATGGTCAGTTCTTAATCTTCATCTCACTTGACCTACTATACTAACAGCCTTTGACACAGCTCCTTCTTCTTTGATATACTTTAATACTTTCTTTTTTTTTTCTTTCACCCAAAGCAAGATTCCTCCTCCTATCTTGTCTGAAGGAGAGTGGCGAGAGCAGATTAAAGCATCCGTGAGGCAGCCTTCTAAAATTTCTCAGGAAGTGGTAGCCAGTGTGAAAATGTATCACCTCACCTTGCTTCATATTTCCCTTCTCTCAGTTCCCTTTTTTTCTCACCTTTGCTGCCCTCTATTTGCATTCCCAAATAAAACATTAATATTTCCTTTTTTGCCTCAAGCTCTGATTTTTAGAGAATCTAGGCTAAGAAACTCACTAAGGTCTTAAGGTAAAAGGCCCAGCAAACACACTGTTATTTTGCTCAATCACAGAACGCTCTAGCTATTCAAAAACTGTTTTCTCTTTCTCCTTCTTCCACATGCACATCCACTAAACCCCGGACCCCAAATTGACAGACCATTCCCAAAACAATAACTTCTGGGTATGTGCTGGCCCTGGCTGGTGGCTTTTCAGTGTAGAGTTCCATGGTTCTAAATTCTTGACTTCAGGAACTCTCCAAATTATATAAAATGGCAAACTCAGAACCAGTTATTTATACTTGAAATACATTTTTATGTATAAAGAAATAAATTTTAACATATTAAGGCATAGTCACAGGACAAATGACAAGTATTGTCATTGTACAGTTATCTAGTGTGTTTGGATTATAAAGGCACACAAGGATTTTTATGGTAGGGAAGACATTGCTATTGTTTTCAACAGAGAAATAGGAGGATTAGGCAGAGGAAGGGAATTAGGAGAAATTTCACCGAAAAAGCCCATGAAGCTTTGGGTAAGGCAGACGAGGCTGGATATGACAGGAAGAATTTGCTGGATACATTATGGTCTGCTGGCACCATCTGGTGTTGAACCCAAGAAAAAACGGAAGATGAAGAAAAAGCTTTCAGAAAGTAATGGAGCCAAGATGAGGCCCACTGAGGGTCTTGTTCAAGTGACATCGGGATCTCGTAACAGAACAAATGGCTGTCAAAGTAGCTGGAAAAGCCCTAGGCTATATCTCCTTAGGGCTCCTTCCTTCCCCAACTTTCCAGATGTCAGACCCTAACCTACCTCAGAGATAGCACTTTACCTTTCACCCTCTCTTACCCATGTTCCTCCAACTGGTGCCATTCCCATCTGACTATCCCATGCCCACACCCAGATCCAGAAGCTGGATAACCCCGCCTCCCTAAACAGCAGATGCCATGTTGGAGAGGTGAATGCAATTGGAATCACTGAGCATTTACTTCACGTTCTCATTTCCACCGATTTTACCTCATGCCTCACTATTTAATAATATAAAATTAAAGTAAAATCTTCCCTTCAAAAAAATTTTTAATGAAATAACATTGCTCTGAAAAAGATAGTTCAACATATGTCAAAATGGCCTTTTCTCTTATTATAAAAATGAAAATTTAAAACCATACATAATGAAACAAAAGGACACTAAAAACATTTTATCAAATATGTTTGTATATGTTCCTGTGCTTTTGTGTTTCTATGTGCACACCTATGCTTTGTGCACTAGAATGACTGCTGCTAGTCTCACTCTGACCCTGTAGGCTTACTCCCATGTAATAAAACATGCCTCTTGATATAGCAATATGCCCTGATTTATGGCAGTGCTTCTATGCCAGGAGCATTTTTGCTTCCTAGGGCATATTTGACAATGTCTGGAGGTATTTTTGCTTGTCACAACTTGGGGGGAAAGGAGATGCTACTAGCATCTAGTGCACAGAGGCCAAAGATACTGCTGAGCATCCTAAAATGCAGAAGAGAGACCCTGACAACAGAAAATTATCTGTTCCAAAATGTCCATAGGGCTAAGGGTGAGAAATTTTGATTTATAAAACACTGGTACCCATGTCCTGTTTGGATCTGAGCTCTTTTCCTTTTGCCAAGTGTGCATAGTTTCAAAGCAGGCCCCAGATGGAATTCTGTGAACTCTCTGTTTAATTGAAGATGGAAAAGATATCATTAATTACTAACTGCTGGTGAATGTCCCTTCTTGTGAATAACTGAAATAAAAAATCATGTTATCAAGTGTTAGAATGAGTGATTTGGCCTGTTCCCCCAGTTTGCCACAGCCTGCTCTAGAACACAGATACCTATTCCTTTTCAGTGCTTGAGTATATTTAAATAAAGCATGCCCTAATTTATAGTTAAGTTTTAAGTAATTCAAGAAGGGCTCTATACTTTTCTCTGAGTTGATCCAAAACAATGACTATTATATAATAAACAAGACCTTGTATACCAAAATTGTGTTTGAGGGCTTATATGTCTTTTTTTAATGAATAAATAAAAGGTGGAAACGGAAGGAAGGGAAGGAAAAAAGCAAGAAAGGAAGGAAGGCTAAAGAAAAGCACAGGAAGCCGGGGAGAGCGAGAAACAGAAATGATGTGACTCATGGAGATCTAAAAGGCATGGGGGAATATTGCCTTACATGGGCTCAAAAGAAGTCTGGAAAGAGATTGGAGAGGATAGAAAGCTCTGAGGCCAAGTGAAATACAGTAATGCAGATGGAGAAGATTACATCTCTTCCTTTACAGACTGGCAAAGTTCTTGAGTGAAAAATTATACAAGATGACCTTTAAAGTTGCTTTGTGAAAAAAGTTGAGCGCTGTGTACTCTGCTTCATTTTTTATGTGCCTAAGTCTCTGTTAAATAATCGCAGTGCTCCTTTCACGTCATTATTCCTCAGTGTGTAGATGAGAGGATTGAGGGTCGGGGTCACAACTGTATAGAAGAGGGAGATGAACTTCCCATGAGCATGGGCATAAGAACTGTTGGACTGGATGTAGACAGCTGTGATGGTCCCACAGAAGAGGGACACTACTATCAAATGGGATCCACATGTCCCCAGGCCTTTGCACCAGGCCTGGACTGACTTGATCCTTATGACCACCTTGGCTATATGTCCATAGGACAGCAGTATTAGCACTAAGGGCAAGAGGAGCAAGACCAGTGAAGCAACAAAGAGCTGAACCTCATTATCATGGATGTCCACACATGCAAGCTTAATCATGGAGGGTACCTCACGAAGAAATGTTGGAGCAATCGGTGTCCACAGCGAGGAAGCCAGAGGGTGACAGTGCCCTGGATAAGAGTGTTTCCCACTCCACTCAGCCACGCAACCCCTGCCAGAGCCTGGCACAGCTGAGGGTTCATTACGGCGGTATAGTGGAGAGGTTTGCAAACTGCAGCATAGCGATCAAAAGCCATTACAGCCAGGAGGACACACTCAGTGGAGCCCAATGCCAGGGAGATGTAGAGCTGGATGACACAACCCAGGAATGTGATTGTTTTGTCAGGTCCTTTTAGGTTCCACAGCAGCTGGGGGACAATACTGGTGGTAAAACAGATATCAACTAAGGAGAGGTGAGTAAGAAAAAATACATGGGTGTCTTGAGTTTAGGGTCTACAGAGCAGATCAGAATAATTACTGTATTTCCCACAAGGGTAAGGAGATAGGATATCAAAACAGCCACAAAGAGGATCTTTTCCAGGTGGGGCTGATGAGAGAAACCCACCAGGATGAAGTCTCCCTTGACACTGCTGTTGGTCATGCCCATCACCCTGTTCAGAACTAGGAGAAACACATTACAAGAATTCAGGGAGGATAATGTGTTGGCCATTGGGCAAAATATCAATCTTTAAAAAGTTTTGATTAATCTCTAATCAAAACACTGACTCAGAGATGTTACAGTGACCCATGGAATAAATTTTGATATAGAAATCACAAAAGAAGACCTTAAAGAAAATACATAATACAGAGAGATACATGAAGGCTATTGTGGAAGCAGTATTTTCCTGACTGATAACTATTAGAAGCTGAGATAAAGTGTATCACAGAAAAAATAAAGGCAGAAAGAAAGAAAATGTCAAAGGAATAAAGTACATTCAATTAATTTATAACTCAGGACAAATTGTTCAAATTCAGTGAAAAAACTCAGTAATGGTTAATATATGCAAATAATTAATATAAATAGCATTTCCATTCTTCAATTGTAAATTCTGAGTTGGGCATTTTTTAAGGTTTTTCTTTATATGAATGGTAGCTCGCTTCTGGAGATTATAGAGGTTATTTTTCCTATAAAATGGCAAACATTTGGCTATTGAAAGTAATAATATTAACATTTATAACTTAATGTTTAATTATATGGACACATACTTTCAATGACTTATTTTCTTTAGGGATTCGTTAACTCATTTAGTCCACCAGCATACTGATGACGTAAACTCATGCAGTTTATTCAGCAAAGATATTCTTATGCAAGCATTATGCAGCACACCTCATGTTTAGTCATCTAGTTTACCTTCTGGCCTATAAGCTGGATTCATCTATGATAGTCCTGATTTGCAAAGTTCTCCTTCTCTTCTTTGGTGTGTGGTGTTAGGGAAGGGAGTTAGCTCTCTGGTCTTGTGTGTTGAATGAAGAGGTAGTTGAATCTGAATGGAAAGAGTGGTGATCAGGGTAAGAAGGGCTCTTTAGTGAGACTAAGAGGCATCAAACCAACATAGAATGTTTATCTTCTAGAAGATGAAAAGATCAAAATTTTTAATCAGCTTTTTAAAAGTCCAAACACTTATAAATGCAGAAGTTTAAAATATATTCACAGATACAAAGTATATACCCAAATTTCACGACTTTACCTCATATATAGGACAAATAGGCACTTTCCACGTGGCATCAGGAAAAATTACTCCAGCCTAAAATTCTTCCCCTACAATAACTGTATATCCTGAAATTGCATTAATATTTGTTCTGAAAATTAGTCATTAAAGTAAAATATATAAGGTAATTTTCACTGCTTTTTTAATATTTATTTCACTTATCATCTAAAAATTGTACTTAGCAGTACTCAATGGAAATGAAAAGAAGTCACAGGAAAAGTCAGAGGAGGCATGGGTACCCCATAAAAGGATGAAGACACTGAGTGATCCCTCAAAATAGGGGGAGGAGAGCACAATAGTAAAAAGAGAACATGAAAGGACCCTTAAGGAATAAACCAGTTTATAAATATGCTACATGTAATATATTCAATATAACGTATACTAAATATATATAGTTCTAATAATTTCACTCACAGTTATACACATACATACCCATAAAAACATACATACATGCGTAAGTCTTCCGATTCTCTCATTTATGTTAATTCCCACCCATTTAGCTACACTAAATTGTACTCGTTTTACTTGTATCAAAGGAATAAAATAAAGCCAGACACACATCACTCTTGTTCTAATCTGTTTAATGCAGCCTGCTCATTGTCAATTTACCCATCCCAATCAAAGGAGACTTCTCCTGTATTTTTAACACACACTCACACACAATACCTCCAAAGAAACGCGATGAGAGATCAATTCACAGTCATGAACCAGCTCCTTATTTGTAGGAATATGTTTGTTTTAGGCTTGTAGAAGAATTTTATTTTACCATGATGCAAAATTTAACATGTGCACTATATAATCTCCCCTCACCCAGATGAACATCACTTTAAACCAGTTCGCCATTAAAAGTTAAGAATCATGGGCATGGTATAGAAATAAAATCAAAGCATAAAAAGAAATAAATATGTTACAAGAAAAAAAGTTTTCCACATTTTTTTCACACTAATAATCATATTTTAATACAGAAAGGAAGCTTAAGCCATAGAGTTCAAACCATTATTACCTTCAAGTGACAACTCAGTGTCTAAGGCTCATGTATTGGTTGTCGGGGCTGTTATTTGAGATTGGAGATCACTGAAGATCAGCAAATCAGGAGACACTGGCAAGGACGCAGGACACTGAATCCAAAAAGATCCCAGGGACACAGTTCTCCCAACATGCAATTAATATCAGGCTCTGTAGTATCCAAAGATGAAATGTCCCAGGAGATTATTCTGAAAGAAATAATTTTGACTCTCTGATCTTTCAATATTGTGTAAATCTAGGCAAAACCACAAAGATATTTAACTTCTGCCCTCATAGCCTCCCAACGTTCAATTTTCTCATTTCTGCTGTTAAGTTTCTATCAAAAATCTAGTATTTTATATATGCAAGTACATATAATTAATTTATCCTGTTGACTCATAACTTTAAATTCTCTTCTTAATAACTTTAAATTTTGGGGCACCTTGCCTTTACCTCACCTCTACTGAGACAAAAACGGCAGGCCTGCAGCCTTCCAACAGGGCCTTTTCCCTCATATCTAATAGGCACTTGACTGTTGCTGGAGATAAATATATAAATGTTTTGAACGGCGCCCTTAAACACCCCTGGTCTTTCTCAACTTCCAATGGGCTCTCTTCTGTCCAGAGGTCATTCTGTGTGTATCCTGTTTGTCTCTTGCATCACCATAGCAAATGTTCAACAAATTCTTAAATCCTCCAATCCAGTGTCCCACAGCTCTCCAAGCAGGTTATCTTGCCCTGACTTCCAAGACAAAACAGAGGGCCCAGGGGGAAATTCCATTAACTTCCTGTCTGTCACCTATAAATGTATATACATTCATACTCTTCCTTTATGATTTTTTTTCAGGTCTCAATAGAGGAAGTGAACCTCTATTTGTTTAAGGCAAATTCTATAAATATTTTAGGGTCCAAGAAAAATCTAATGCATATTCAAGTACAAGCAGGTGATATGAATGACTGAGTGGATAAGGTATAAGAAAAACAATTGTAGAAATGCAATGATAAGTGTCAACAAACATTTAGCTGAGGTCTATATGCAGTAATAAAAGAGTGGTGAACATTTTGCTGCACATGCCACATCTGAAGAAAACAACAACTGCTGAGCGCTAGTTGACCAATTTTCTATGCATTGAGCCCCAGGATTGCAAAATATTCTGAATTCTCAATGGAATCTAGATTTTTATGAAAGCTTTCATTTAAAAAAATAGTTTAGTTAGTGGGTGCAGCGCACCAGCATGGCACATGTATACATATGTAACTAACCTGCACAATGTGCACATGCACCCTAGAACTTAAAGTATAATAAAAAAAAGAAAAAAAGAAAAAAAAATGTTTGCTGAAGGCAAAAAAAAAAAAGTTTATATAAAATAGTTCATGAAGGTGCAACTTAATTATTACAAAGTGAACAAATTTTGATCAAGAAAACAATGTAAGAAACATTCTAGAATGACTCTCAATTTCATTTCCTTATGCTACTTATACCTGCCCCTTGTAACCATTATTATGATTTTTTTGAACTATATATAAACAAAATCATACAGCATTATTTCTTTTGTTTCTGCTTATATTTATTCAATGTTATCTTTGGGAGATTCATTTATGTGGTTGCATATACCAATACAGCACTATATTTTTACTGCATTGTATTTCATTGTATAAATATGCCACAACTATTTTATCCTTTGTAGTACTGATAGGCTAGACATTTGGGTGCTTATGATTTTTGTCTTTTGTGAATATTGCTGCTGCAGTCACTTTAGTATATGTGTTTGGTAAGAAATGTAAGCATTTTGGCAGGGACGATACTGTGGAGAAATTGCTTAGGTTTGAGGTATGCATATATTCAGCTTTGGTAGATACCACCAATTCTGGAAGTTGGTTGCACAAACTTAAACTCCACAGTATGGTGAGAATTACAGTTGCTCCAAATCTATACTAACAGTGTTTTCTGTCCTCTTAATTTTAGCCATTCTGGTGATATATCATGAATATATCATTATGATTTTAATTTGTACTCACCTACTAACTAATGAAGTTGACCAGTTTCTCTTATATTTATAGTCATTGAGAAATCTTTTGTGTAGTATCCATTCAAGTCCTTGACTTTTTCCAAATTCATTTGTAGGAAATTTTTATATATGCCAGAGGTTTAAAAAATAGAAGGCAAGTTTCAAATACTATTTTAGTCAAGTATAACTTTGGCAACAAAACAAAATTTTAAAATTGCATGATAGTCCCATGAATTAACATAGATTTGAAAATATTACCAATTAATTCAATTATTTAAAATATTCTACACACTGCTGAAAGTAAATTTATTCCAGAAAAAAATGAAATTCATTTTTTCATTGTGTTAGCAAAATAACACAATAAAGAAACAACATTTTATAATCATATCATCAGATAAAAAATCAAGTATTTGATGAGTCTCAAAATATATAAAAATAATAAAAATGACTTAGTAAGCTATGAAAAGAATGATAGATCCTAATCTGTTAAACAGGATCCGAAAACCCTTTCAGCAAGCATTATGAATATGTTGAAAATTTTCTCTTTGAAATTGAGGAAAAGACAAGGACACCTTCTATTTCCATTTCCATTCAAACTACTTTGTTGTAGAGACTTTAGCCAGTATAATAGGATAAGACAAGGAACAAGCAAGATTGCAGTAGAAGAAATAAAATTTCATTATTATATATATGATTATGTATGTAGAAAATTCAAAGTGATTACAACTATTCATAGATGATTCAAAATTGTATAGATATTAATTATATCTTTGATCTCTATATTCAGTGCTAACTCAATCAAAATTCAGACTATTTGTAAAATTTTCTAAGATTATTCTAAAATGTATATAGAATACCAAGTTGTATATAGAATATCAAGTATCATTAATTCTGAGACACTCTTGAAGAAAAAATTGTCAACAAAAAAGAGTCAAACTCCATGAAATATTTAAAGAGTTTTATTCTGAGCCAAATGTGAGTAATTGACGGCCTGAGGCGCAGTCTCAAGACATCCTGAGAACAAGTGCCCAAGGTGATTGAATTACAACTTGATTTACATTTTAGGAGCATGTAAAAAATCAGTCAATACATGTGGGGTCTGTGTTGGTTCAGTCATGAAAGGTGGAACAACTCAAAGTGGGGCCTTCCACATCAAAGGTAAATTCAAAGATTTTCTTATTGGCAATTGGTTGAAAAACTTGTTACTATTTAAATGCCTAGAATCAATAGAAAGGAGTGTCTGGATTAAAATAAGGGATTGTAGAGAACAAGGTTCTTATTATGTAGATGAAGTCTCATAAGTGGTCACCCTTACAAGCAATAGATGGGAAATATTTTGTATTCAGACCTTTAAAAGGTACTGGACTCTCAACTAAACTCTTCAGGATCAGAAAAAGACCTGGAAAGCAAAGGCGATTCGCTACAGAATGTAAATTTCCCCCACCAGAAGCAGCTTTGCAGGGACATACTCTCCTCCCTTTGGAATTCAGGCATAACTTACCAGCATTATTAACTTTAAAACAGAGATCTTAATTAAGACTGACAAAACAGATTCCTTATAGCAATAACATACCAAATTGCAACCTGACTCTAGTATAGCATCACATGATAGATAGCCAGTCCTGAAAGAAATCAAAGTATTTTACCCCAAAATAGATTTCTTTGACACCTTTTGGAATGCCTTTGAAAAGCTGTTGAAGTGGCATCGTTGTCTGGGGTAAATACCCAGGGTTCATCGTCTTGCACTAAGAAGATTAAGGACACGGACACATGTGGGTGTGTTAAGGAGCAGAGAGTTTAACAGGCAGAAGAAAGGAGAGAGGCAAGCAGCTCTCTCTCTCTCTCTCCCTCGTGAGAAAGAAGTTTTTGAAAGGGAAACAACTGGCTTGCGGCAGACCACAGCAGATTTTATAGGCAAGCTTGAGGAGGAGCCGGTGTCTGATTTACACAGGGTCACAGATTGGTTCTACCAGGTGTGACATTTACATAGCCCGCAGGGAAGTCTGGTTGACCCACCTTAATCTTATGGCCAGCACCATCTTGTCTGCTCCTTATTCTACACGTGGCTGACAAAGAGAAGGGAAGATGGAGCCACCATTTTGATCATGCTTAATCCCAGGTAGCCTTTTTCTATTAGCACAACTGCCAGCATTGATCAATGCAAACTTCCTGTTTGCTTGTCTATGTCTGCAGCTAGATTCTATACAGGCTGCTCTTTGTTAGAAAAAATGATTTGGGGGCTGCTTTTTATTAAAAGGAAAACCTTACCCAGGAAGGATTTCCTTACCCTCACTATCTGCCTAAATAATTTGTTTATAACACCTATATTATTGTTTCTTGTGGGGAAAATCTACATTCTGTATAGAATTCGCTACCCTTTCCAGGTCTTTTCCAGATCCAGGAGAGATTTAACTAATAGTCTGACACTTTTTAAGATCTCATAAGAGACATTTACTACTTAATTTTTTCTGAAGCCTGCCACCTGAAGACTTTATTTACATAACAAGAACCTTGGCTTCCACAACTCCCCCTATCTTAAACCCAAGCATTTCTGCTGACTTCGACTTTTTTTTTTCTAATAAAAACTTTATTTTAGGTTCAGGGGTACGTGTGAAGGTTTGTTACAGAAGGGAAACTGTGTCACAGGGGTTTGTTGTACAGATTATTTCATCACCCATGTATTATGCTCAGTATCCAATAGTTATCTTTTTCCCCTCCTACCCCTTCTCCCACCTTCCACCCTCAAGAAAATCTGTTTCTGTTTTTTCCTTCTTTGTGTTTATGAGTTCTCATAATTTAGCTCCCACTTATAAGTGAGAACATGTGGTATTTATTTATTTGTTCCTGCATTAGTTAGCTAAGGATAATGGCCTCTAGCTCCATCCATGCTCCCACAAAATACATGATCTTTTTTTTATAGCTGTATATACCACATTTTTAAAATCTAATTTGTCATTGGTAGGCATTTAGGTTGATTCCATGTCTTGCTTTTCTGGATAGTGCTGTGATGAACATTTACCTGCACATGTGCTGTATCCTTTTTTTTTTTTTTTTGAGACAGGATGTCACTCTCTCGCCCAGGCTGCGGCGCAGTGGCACAATCATGGCTCACTGCAGTCTTGACCTCCCCAGTCTCGGGTGATCCTCCCATCTCAGCTTCCCTGGTAGCTGGGACCACAGGCATGCACCACCACACCCGGCTAATTTTTGTATTTTTGGTAGAAATGCGGTTTGGCCATGTTGCCCACGCTGGTCTCAAAGTGCTTGGATTATAGCTGAGAGCTGCCGCACCTGGCCACATGTGTCTTTACAGTAAAATGATTTCTATTCTTCTGGGTGTATACCCAGTAATGGGATTGCTGGGTTGAATGGTAGTTTTGCTTTTAGCTCTTTGAGGAATAGCCATACTGTTTTCCACATTGGCTTAACCAATTTATACTCCCATCAACAGCATATAAGTGTTCCCTTTTCTCTGCAACCTTGCCAGCATCTGTTATTTTTTTACGTTTTAATAATAGCCATTCTGACTGGTGTGAGATGGTATCTCATTCTGGATTTGATTTGCATTTCTCTGATGACCAGTGATATTGAGCTTTTTTTTTTTTTCATATGCTTACTGGCCACATGTATGTGTTCTTTGGAAAAGTGTCTGTTCATGTCCTTTGCCCACTTTTTAATGGGGTTGTTTGTTTTTCTCTCATAAATTTGTTTAAGTTCCTCATAGAAGCTGGATATTAGCTAGTTATCCCAGCATGTTTGATGGAATAGGGAGTCTTTTCCCCTTTGTTTTTGTCAGTTTTGTTGAAGATCAACTGGTCATAGGTGTGCATTCTTATTTCTGGGCTCTCTATTCTGTTCCATTGGTCTATGTACCTGTTTTTGTACCAGTACAATGCTGTTTGGTTACCATAGTTCTGTAGTGTAGTTTAAAGTTGGGTGATGCCTCTAGCTTTGTTCTTTTTGCTTTGGATTGCCTTTGCTATTCGGGCTTTGTTTTTGTTCCATATGAAATTTAAAATAGATTTTCCTAGTTCTGCAAAGAATGTTGTTGGTATTTTGATAGGAATATCATTGAATATGTAAATTGCTTTGGGCAGTATGGCCATTTTAATAATATTGATTCTTCCTATCCACGAGCATGGGATGTTATTCCATTTGTTTGTGTCTTCTCTGATTTCTTTAAGCACGGATCTGATTTCTTTGTAATTCTCATTGTAGAGATCTTTCACCTACCTGGTTAGCTGTACCCCTAAGTATTCTATCCTTTCTGTGGCAATTGTAATTCCCAAATTAGAAAAGGATTGCCTTTCTAATTTGGCTCTTGGCTTGGCTGTTGGTGTATAGTAATGCTAGTGATTTTTGTATATGGATTTGTATTCTGAAACTTTGCTGAAGTTGTGTATCAGCTGAAGGAGCTTTTATGCTGAGGCAATGGGGTTTTCTAGATATAGTATCATGTGGTCTGCAAACAGATAGTTTGCCTTTCTTTCTTCCTATTTACATGCCATTTTTTTCTTTCTCTTGCCTGATTACTCTGGTTAGGAGCAATTCCTATATATATGTGTGTGTGTGTGTATATACACACTTTATATATATATACTTTATATATGTATATACTTTATATATGTATATACTTTATATATACTTTATATATGTATATATACTTTATATATACTTTATATATATACTTTATACATATATATTATATATTATATATTTTAAGTTCTGAGATACATGTGTAGACGTGGAGGTTTGTTACATAGGTATACACGTGCCATGGTGATTGATGCACCCATCAACCTGTCATCTACATTAGGTATTTCTCCTAATGCTATCCCTCCCCTGGCCCCCCACCCCCTAAAAGACCACAGTGTGTGATGCTCCCCTCCCTGTGTCCATATGTTTTTATTTTTCAACTCCCAGTTATGAGTGAGGACATGCAGTGTTTGGTTTTCTGTTCCTGTGTTAGTTTGCTGTGAACGATGATTTCCAGCTTCATCCATGTCCCTGCAAAGGACATGAACTCATCCTTTTTTTTATGGCTGCATAATATTCCATGGGTTATATGTGCCACATTTTCTTTATCCAGACTATCATTGATGGGCATTTGGGTTGGTTCCAAGTCTTTGCTATTGTAAACAGTGCTGCAATAAACATACGTGTGCTTGTGTCTTTATATTAGAATGATTTATAATCCTTTGGGTATATACCCAGTAATGGGAATGCTGGGTCAAATGGTATTGCTGGTTCTAGATCCTTGAGGAATTGCTGCACTGTCTTCTACAATGGTTGAACTAATTTTCACTCCCAAGAACAGTATAAAAGCATTCCTATTTCTCCATATCCTCTCCAGTATCTGTAGTTTCCTAACTTTTTAATGATCGCCATTCTAACTGGCATGAGGTGGTACCTCACTGTGGTTTTGATTTGCATTTCTCTAATGACCAGTGATGATGAGCTTTTTTTCATGTTTGTTGGCCACATATATGTCTTCTTTGGAGAAGTGTTGATTCATTTGCTTCACCCACTTTTTGATGGGGTTGTTTGTTTTCTTCTTGTAAATTTGTTTAAGTTCCTTGTAGATTCTGGATATTGGCCCTTTGTCAGATGGATAGATTGCAAAAATTGTCTCCCATTCTGTAGGTTACCTTTTCACTCTGTTGTTAGTTTCTTTTGCTGTGCAGAAGTTCTTTACTTTAATTAGATCTGATTTGTCTATTTTGGCTTTTGTTGCCATTGCTTTGGTGTTTTAGTCATGAAGTCTTTGCCCATCCTGAATGGTATTGCCTAGGTTTTCTTCTAGGGTTTTTATGTTTTTAGGTCTTATATTTAAGTCTTTAATTCATCTTGAGTTAGTTTTTGTATAAGGTGTAAAGAAGGGGTCCAGTTTCAGCTTTTTGCATATGGCCAGCCAGTTTTTTCAATACCATTTATTAAATAGGGAATCCTTTCCCCATTGCTTGTTTTTTGTCAGGTTTGTCAAAGATCAGATGGTAGTAGACATGTGGCATTATTTCTGAGGCCTCTATTTTGTTCCATTGGTCTATATATCTGTTTTGGTACCAGTACCATGCTGTTTTGGTTACTGTACCCTTTTAGTATAGTTTGAAGTCAGGTAGTGTGATGCCTCTAGCTTTGTTCTTTTTGCTTAGGATTGTCTTGGCAATACGGGATGGGCTCTTTTTTGGTTCCATATGAAATTTAAAGTAGTTTTTTCTAATTCTGTGAAGAAAGTCAGTGGTAGCTTGATGGGGATAGCATTGAATCTATAAATTACTTTGGGCAGTATGGCCTTTTTCACTATATTGATTCTTTCTATCCATGATCATGGAATGATTTTCCATTTGTTTATGTCCTCTGTTATTTCCTTGAGAAGTGGTTTGTAGTTGTCCTTGAAGAGGTCCTTCACATCCCTTGTAAGTTGTATTCCTAGGTATTTTATTCTCTTTGTAGCAATTGTGAATGGGAGCTCATTCATGATTTGGCTTTCTGTTTGTCTATTATTGGTGTATAGAAATGCCTGTGATTTTTGCACATTGATTATGTATCCTAAGACTTTGCTGAAGTTGCTTATCAGCTTAAGGAGATTTTGGGCTGAGGTGATGGGGTTTCCTAAATATACAATCATGTTATCTGCAAACAGATACAATTTGACTTCCTCTCCTCCTAATTGAATATGCTTTATTTCTTTCTCTTGCCTGATTGCCCTGGCCAGAACTTCCAATACTGTGTTGAATAGGAGTTGTGAGAGAGGGCATCCTTGTCTCGTGCTGGTTTTCAAAGGGAATGCTTCCAGCTTTTGCCCATTCGGTATGATATTAGCTGTGGGTTTGTCATAAATACCTCTTACTATTTTTAGATATGTTCCATCAATACCTAGTTTATTGAGTGTTTTTAGAATCAAGGGTTGTTGAATTTTATCAAAAGCCTTTTCTGCAGCTATTGAAATAATCATGGGGTTTTTATCATTGGTTCTGTTTATGTGATGGATTATGTTTATTGATTTGTGTATGTTGAACCACCCTTGCATCTCAGGGATGAAGCTGACTTGATCATGGTGAATAAGCTTTTTGATGTACTGCTTGATTTGGTTTGCCAGTATTTTATTGAGGATTTTTGCATCAATGTTCATAATGGATATTGGCCTGAAATTTTCTTTTTTCATTGTGTCTCTGCCAGGCTTTGGTATCAGAATGATGCTGGCCTCATAAAATGAGTTAGGGAAGAGTCCCTCTTTTTCTATTGTTTAGAATAGTTTCAGAAGGAATGATAGCAGCTCTTCTTTGTGCCTCTGGTACAATTCGGCTGTTTATCCATCTGGTCCTAGGCTTTTTTTGTTGGTAGGCTATTAATTACTGCCTCAATTTCAGAACTTGTTATTGGTCTATTCAGGAACTGGATTTCTTCTTAGTTTAGTCTTGGGAGGATGTATGTGTCCAGGAATTTATCCCTTTCTTCTAGATTTTCTAATTTATTTGCATAGAGGTGTTTACAGTATTCTCTGGTGGTAATTTGTATTTCTGTGGGATCAGTGGTAATATCTCCTTTATCATTTTTTATTCTGTCTATTTGATTCTTCTCTCTTTTCTTCTTTATTAGTCTGGCTAGTAGTTTATCTATTTTGTTAATCTTTTCAAGAAACCGACTCCTGGATTCATTGATTTTTGAAGGATTTTTCATGTCTCTATCTCCTTCAGTTCTGCTCTGTTCTTAGTTATTTCTTATCTTCTGCTAGCTTTTGACTTTGTTTACTCTTGCTTCTCTGGTTCTTTTAATTGTGATGGTAGGGCGTTGATTTTAGATCTCTCCCCCTTCCTCCTGTGGGCATGTAGTGCTATAAATTTCCCTGTAAACACTGCTTTAGCTGTGTCCCAGAGATTCTGGTATGTTGTGTCTTTGTTCTCATTGGTTTCAAAGAATCTATTTATTTCTGCCATAATTTTGTTATTTACCCAGTAGTCATTCAGGAGCACATTGTTCAGTTTCCATACAGTTTTACAGTTTTGAGTGAGTTTCTTAATCCTGAGTTCGAATTTGATTAAACTGTGGTCTGAGAGACTGTTTGTTATGATTCCCATTCTTTTGCATTTTCTGAGGAGAGTTTTACTTCCAATTATGTGGTCAATTTTAGAATAAGTGCTATGTGGTGCTGAGAATAATGTATGTTCTGTTGATTTGGGGTGGAGAGTTCTATAGATGTCTATTAGGTCCACTTGGTCCAGAGCTGAGTTCAAGTCCTTAATATTCTTGTTAATCTTCTGTCTAATTGATCTGTCTAATATTAACAGTGGGGTGTTAAAGTCTCCCACTATTATTGTATGGGAGTCTAAGTCTCTTTGTAGGTCTCTAAGAACTTGCTTTATGAATTTGGGTATTCTTGTATTGGGTGCATATATATTTAGGATAGTTGCATTGATCCCTTTACCATTATGTATTGCCCTTCTTTGTCTTCTTTGATCTTTGTTGGTTTAAAGTCTGTTTTATCAGAGACTGGGATTGCAACCCTTGAAGTCTTTTGCTTTGCATTTGCTTGGTAGATGTTCCTCCATTCCTTTACTTTGAGCCTATGTGTGTCTTTGCACATGAGATGGGTCTCCTGAATACAGCACACTGATGGGTCTTGACTCTTTTTCCAGTTGGCCAGTCTGTGTCTCTTAATTGGGGCATTTAGCTCATTTACATTTAAGGTTAGTATTGTTATGTGTGAATTTTATCCTGTCATTATGATGCTAACTGGTTATTTTGCCCATTAGTTAATGCACTTTTTTCATAATGTCGATCATCTTTACAATATGGTATGTTTTTGCAGTGGCTGGTACCGGCTTTTCCTTTCCCCATTTATTGCTTCCTTTAGAAGCTCTTGTAAGGTAGGCCTGGGGGTGACAAAATCTCTCATTATTTGCTGTCTGTAAAGAGTTTTATTTCTCCTTTGCTTATGAAGCTTAGTTTGGCTGGGTATAGAATTCTGGGTTGAGAATTCTTTTCTTTTAGAATGTTGAATATTGGCCCCCACTTTCTTCTGGCTTGTAGGGTTTCTGCAGAGAGATCTGCTGTTAGTCTGAGAGGCTTCTTTTTGTTGGTATTCTGACCTTTCTCTCTGGCTGCCCTTAATATTTTTTCCTTCATTTCAACCTTGGTGAATCTGACAATTACATGTTTTTGGGTTGCTCTTCTTGAGGAGTATCTTTGTGGTGTTCTCTCTATCTCCTGAATTTGAATGTTGGCCTGTCTTGCTAGGCTGGGGAAGGTCTCCTGGATAATATCCTGAAGAGTGTTTTCCAACTTGGTTCCATTCTTCTAGTCACTTTCAGGTATACCAATCAAATGTAGGTTTGGTCTTTTCACATAGTCCCATATTTCTTGGATGCTTTGTTCATTCCTTTTCATTCTCTTTTCTCTAATCTTGGCTTCATGCTTTATTTCATTAATTTGATCTTCCATCTCTTATATACTTTCTTCCACTTGATTGATTCAGCTATTGATACTTGTGTATTCTTTACGAAGTTCTCGTGGTGTGTTTTTCAGCTCCATCAGGTTATTTATATTCTTCTCTAAATTGGTATTCTAGTTAGCAATTCCTCTAAACATTTTTCAAGGTTTTTAGCTTCCTTGCATTGGGTTAGAACATGCTCCTTTAGCTCAGAGGAGTTTGTTATTACCCACCTTCTGAAGCCTACTTCTGTCAATTTGTCAAATTCATTCTCGATCCAGTTTTGTTCCCTTGCTGGTGAGGATTTGTGATCTTTGGAGTAGAAGAGGTGCTCTGATTTTTGGTATTTTCAGCCTTTTTGTGCTGTTTTTTTTTTCTCATCTTCATGGATTTATATACCTTTGGCTTTTGATGTTGGTGACCTTCAGATGGGATCCTGAGTAGACATTTTTCTCTTGATGTTGATACTATTCCTTTCTGTTTGTTAGTATTTCTTCTAACCATCAGGCCTCTCTGCTGCAGGTCTCCTGGAGTTTGCTGGAGGTCCACTCCAGACCCTGTTCACCTGGGTATCACCAGCAGAGGTTGCCGGACAGCACAGATTGCTGCCTGTTCCTTCCTCTGGAAGCTTTGTTTAGGAGGGGCACCTGCTGGATGCCAGCTGGAGCTCTCCTGTATGAGGTGTCTGTCGATCCCTGCTGGGAGGTGTCTTTCAGTCAGGAGGCATGGGGGTCAGCGACCCACTTGAGGAGGCAGTCTGTTCCTTAGCAGAGCTCGGGCACTGTGCTGGGTGATCCACTGCTCTCCTCAGAGCTGGCAGTCACGAATGTTTAAGTCTCGAATTTGTTAATTCTTAATAAAAATGATACACATTTCTCATGTGCTCACATGATCACAGCTGTACTGTTAATATAATATGTAGCTGAATGAGAAAATAGTTAATTGAAAAAGTGATTATGATGTGAATAATGCTTTTTAGTAATTTCTTTGTCAATTAAATATTTTTCAGTTTTTATTGTTAATTAAGAAATTGATACACAACTATTGTACATGTTTCTGAGGTGCTTGTGATATTTTGATAAATCTCTATGATAACAATAATTTATTGTTTATTTCAAAATAGCTAGAAGAAAGACTTAGCATGTTCCCGACACAAATAAATGCTATATTTCTTTTTTCCCCCACTAAATATTATGTTTAATGTTTTACTGGTTCATGTAAAAATGTATTTATTTTCACTTCTGACTTGAACATGAGTTGCTTTCAAAGTTACGTTATCTCTGTTACCATAATTATTATTGGACACATTAATAGTTTAGTTTTATGATTACTCTTTTATCATCTGTGTATTCAGAGATCAGTTTACCCTACTTTTGAGATAAGAATAAATGGAAAACATGAATCCTACAAACTGGTTATGACAATCAATGGTAGCAGTACATTTTAAAGAAATATCACTGACCCCAAAAATCCATCAGAGACTATTTCGAGCACCTCTATGCACAAAAACTAGAAAACCTAAAAGAAATGGCTGAATTCCTAGAAACACACTACCTTTCAAGATTCAACCAAGAAGACAGTAAAACCCTGAACAGACCAATAATGAGTTCTGAAATTGAATCAGTAATTTAAAAACTTACAAATCAGAAAAAGCCCTGTACCAGGCAAATTCACAGCTGAATTCCACTAGACATATAAAGAAGTGCTGGTACCAATTCTACTGAAACTATTCCAAAAAATAGAGGAGAAGTTACTCCTCCATGTTATACATGTCCATGTGAAGAGACCACCAAACAGGCTTTGTGTGAGCAATAAAGCTTTTAATCACCTGGGTGCAGGCAGACTGAATCCGAAAAAGGAGTCAGCAAAGGGAGATGGGGTGGGGCAGTTTTCTAGGATTTGTGTAGGTAGTGGAAAATTACTGTTAAAGGGGGTTGTTCTCTTGCAGGCAGGGGCAGGGGTCACAAGGTGCTCAGTGGGGAGCTCCTGAGATTCACTGTCCAGGAGAAGGAGTGTCACAAGGTCAATGCTCAGTTAGGGTGGGACTGGAACAAATCACAGTGGTGGAATGTCATCAATTAAGGCAGGAACTGGCTATTTTCACTTCTTTTATGGTTCTTCAGTTGCTTCAGGCCATCTGGATGTATATGTGCAGGTCACAGGGGATATGATGGCTTAGCTTGGGCTCAGAGGCCTGACATTACTGTCTTCTTATATTAATAAGAAAAACAAAACAAAATAGTGGTGATGTGTTGGGGGCAGCAAAAATTTTGGGGGGGGTGGTATGGAGAGATAATGGGCAATGTTTCTCAGGGCTGCTTCAGGCAGGATTAGGGGTGGCATGGGAACCTAGAGTGGGAGAGATTAAATTGAAGAAACATTTTGTGGTAAGGGGTGATATCGTGGGGTTGTTGGAAGGAGCATTTGTTGTATAGAATGATTGGTGATGGCCTGGATGCAGTTTTGTATGAACTGAGAAACTAAATGGAAGACACTAGGTCTGAATAAGAGAAGGAGAAAAACAGGTATTAAAGGGCTAAGAATTTGGAGGACCCAGGACATCCAATTAGAGAGTGAGTGCCCAAGGGGGTTCAGTGTAATTATTTGCTTGGTTGGTGAGTTTTTGGGCTCTATCCATGAGTTTTTTTAGGTTGTCGTATACCAGGCCAGATTGATTTAGGTAAAAACAATACTCTTCATTTAAAAATATAGAGTCTCCCTTTTTCAGCAGTGAGTAAGTCAAGGCCTCATGGTTTTGGAGGACAACCGCAACTGAAGAGTCAACCTGCGCCTGAAGGACTGATAAAGATTGTGATATGTCTGCAATGCTAGCAGAGAAGTCATTAGAGAGGCTACAGAAGGTTGTGGCAGAGGTTGAATTGCCTGCTATTCCAGTTCCAAGAGCAATAGTGGAGGCAGAAAATATTGGAGTGTGCCCTGCCAGCAAAGATCATCTATCCACTCCAAGAGGGAGTCGAGAGTGGCAGTTTGGGGATAGCACCATGAGATATCAGCTGTGATGGTTTGGAGGAAAAGTGGAAACTGGCAGTGTAAACAAGAGCAGGGCATTTATGAGTAGGTGAGAATGGTGAATTGGAAAATAGCAGGGATGAAAAAGCTTGTGAGTTGCAGTCCAAGAAGTGGGGGCGGGTGTGACTGCATAAAACCCTGTTGTAGAGAGTAAGGCAAGGAAGAACAGACCTAATAAAAATGAAAGGATGTGTTAGGCTTATAAGGGTTATTACTGTTCTTTAGAAATGCGAATGAGTTTTAAGGGAAGTAGGGGAGAGTACTCGCAACTTCCAGGAGGAAGAGGAGAGATCTGGCTGGCTGTCCAATGGACACAGCTTTATTCTGTAATGGTGAACTCAATGGGGAGATTCCTGTAGATGGACGGAAGTTGGGGTGCTATAGATGACTAGGTAGGGTCCGTTCCATCGAGGCTGTAGAGTTTCAGGGGTCAGACTCTTAACAAGAACCGATCATCCAGCTAGGGTGTCTTCATATGGCTGGGAATCTGGAGTAGGCAAGAGAAGATTAGCAGCCTGGCGAATTTCCTGTCTAGCCTGCTGGAGGACTGGAAGATAGTTGCCCAGAGGGCTGGTGTCTGGAATAAGATTGGGGCTGAGCAAGAAAGTGTGTCTATATAAAAGTTCAAATGGACTGTACCCTGTAGCATCTCGAGGGCAGGCTCTAATTCTGAGAAAGGCAAGTGGTAGAAGTACTGTCCAGTCCTTTTTAAGTTAGAGGCTGAGCTTGGTGAGGTGTGTTTTTTAAAGAGCATTAGTCCATTTTACCTTTCCTGAAGATTGAGGACAGTAAGGGGTATGAAGTTTCCACTGAATACCAAGAACCTGAGAGACAGCTTGGGTGATTTGACTAATAAAAGCTGGACCATTGTCAGATTGAATAGAAGTAGGGAGGCCAAATCAGGGAATTATATCTGTTAGAAGGGAAGAAATGACTGCAATAGGCTTTTTGGAACTAGTGGGAAAGTCCTCGAGCCATCCGGTGAAGGTGTCGATCCAAACCAGGAGATACTTAAATTTACGGACATGGGGCATATGAGTAAAGTCTAACTGCCAATCATGAGTTGAAGTAAATCCACAAGCCTGATGCTCAGGAAAAGGAGGAGGCCTGAGAAAGCCTTGGGGGCTGGTGGCATGGCAGACAGAGGATTGAGAGGTTATGGTCTTAAGGATGGACTTCCATGAAGAGAAGGAGATGAGGAGCTGCAGGAATCAAGCCACAGGCTTGTATCCCACATGGAAGTGGTCATGAAGGGAAGAAAGAATGGACTGAGCTTGTGAGGCAGGAAGAATGAATTTTCCATGATTTATAAGAACCACTTGCCTTGAGTTGGAAAAGACTGGTAGAGCAGGTTTTCAGAAAAGTAGGTGGGAGTGTTGGAGGAGAAGGAGAAATACTGGACCTCTGGAGTGAGGGCTGGAATATTAGTGGATGTGGAGGCATCAGCTATTTCTTTTGCCGTCCTGTTGGCATAGGCATTTCCTTTTGCAATAAGATCAGTAGGTTTCTGGTGCCCTTTATAATGAATGACTCCAGCCTTGGCTGGCAGGAAAGCAACCTTAAGGAGGGCCTTTGTTAGGGAGGCATTGATAATGGAAGAGCCTTGTGTGGTAAGGAAGCCTCTTTCAGCCCAGAAGGCAGCATGGTTATGGAGGATATAGAAAGCATATCTGGAGTCAGTATAAATGTCAATGTGCATTCCTTTAGTGAGAGAATGCGGTAGTTAAAGCAATCAGTTCAGCTTATTCGGAAGTGGTGGAGGGAAGTGCAGCAGCTTCAATAGTAGCGGTGTGGGACACGACAACATATCTAGCTTTAGCTGGTGAAAATTGATTGGGTTTAGAAGAACTGCCATCAATAAACCAAGTGTGGTCTGTGTTTGGAATTGGCAGAATAGGAATATGAGGACGGGGGAGGATGCTATGTTTATTAGGGAAATACAGTCAGGTGGTTCAGGACTTGTGCTGGGTGCTAAGTGAGAAAGTGGGTTGAAATCAGGCCTATGGATAATAGTTACTGTTGGAGTTTTAACAAAGAGTGAATAGAGCTGGAGGAGTTGAGGGGCAGACAATAAATGTGAAAGGTATGGGGAGGATATTAATGCTTGAAGGTTGTGAGAACTGTAAAGGGTAAGTGGAGCATAGCCTGTGATTTTGAAGGCCTCTAGAAGTATTAAAGCAGTGCCTGCCGCCCCATGCAGAGCCAGCCCAGAACTGTGAGGTCAAGTTTCTTTGATAGAAAGGCAACAGGTTGTGAGCCTGGCTCCTGTGTGAGGACTCCGGCAGCACAGACTTGTATTTCCGCTGTGTGTAAGGAAAAGGGATGGGACGAGTTGGGGAGTGCAAGTGTAGGAGCTGTCTCCAGGACCTTTTTGAGAAAGTGAAAGGAAGAATGGGGAAAAGACTTAGGATCTATGGGATTAGTTAAGTTATCCTTTGTGAGCTTGTAAAGTGGTTTTGGTTAGAATAGCAAAGCCTGGTATCCAGAGTTGGAAATATCCAACAATGCCTAAGAAGGAAAGGAGTTGTTTGGTGGTGGGGATTGGGGTCTGGGAGATTAACTGAATACGGTCTGCAGGAAGGGCACATGTATGTTGATGGAGGATTATACTGAGATAGGTAACACTAGGAGAAGAAATTTGTGCCTTGGAGGGGGATACTTGGTACCCCTTTCAGTAGAGATGTTGAAGAAGCAGGATAGTGTCCTGCTGGGAAGATTAGTAAGAGGGGCTGCAAAGGAGATCATCAAAATATTGAATAAGGTGAGAGGCAGATGGGGAAGAAGAAAGCAGATCATGAGAAGGGGCCTGGCCAAAGTAGTGTGGGCTGTCCCTGAAGCCTTGGGGCAGAACAGTCCAGGTGAGTTGTTGGGATTAGTGGGTGTCAGGGTCAGTCCAAGTAAAGGCAAAAAGAGGCTGGGAGGAGGGATGCAAGGGGATAGTAAAGAAAGCATCTTTGAGGTCGATAACAGAATAGTGAGTTGTGGAAAGGGTTATTGAAGATAGGAGGGTGTACAGGTTTGGCACTATAGGATGGATGGGAAGGACAATTTGATTAACAAGGTGAAGATCCTGAACCAACCTGTAAGACTTGTCCAGTTTCTGGAGGGGTAGGATAGGGGAGTTGTAAGGAGAATTTGTAGGCTTTAAGAGGCCATGTTGTAACAGGTGAGTTATAACAGGCTTTAACCCTTTTAAAGCCTGCTGTGGGATGGGATATTGGCGTTGAGCAGGGTAAGGGTGATTAGGTTTTAATGGGATGATAAGGGGTGCATGATCGGTTGCCAAAGTAGGAGTAGAGGTATCCCATACGTGTGGATTAAGGTAGGGAGACATAAGGGGAGGATGTGAAGGAGACTTTGAACTGGGGAAAAGGGTGGCAATGAGGTGTGGCTGTAGCCCAGGAATAGTCAGAGAAGCAGATAGTTTAGTTAAAATGTCTTGACCTAATAAGGGAGCTGGGCAGGTGGGGATAACTAAAAAGGAGTGTATAAAAGAATGTTGTCCAAGTTGGCACCAGAGTGGGGGAGTTTTAAGAGGTTTAGAAGCCTGACCATCAATACCCACAACAGTTATGGAGGCAAGGGAAACAGGCCTTTGTAAAGAAGGTAATGTGGAGTGGGTAGCCTCCGTATCAATTAAGAAGGGACTTACCTCCACTGTAAGTTACCTGAAGTGTCTGTGATGGTCCAGGAGGCTTCTGAGGCAATCAGGCAGCATCAGTCTTCAGCCACTAAGCCAAGAAGATCTGGGAAGGAGTCAGTCAGAGAGCCTTGGGGCAGAGTTCCAGGGGCTCTGGGAGTGGCTTTTGGGCAAGCTGGACAGTCCGATTTCGAGTGGGGACCTGCACAGATAGGACACGGCTTAGGAGGAATCCTGGGCTGCGGGCATTCCTTGGCCCAGTGGCCAGATTTCCGGCACTTGAAGCAAGATCCTGGGGGAGGAGGTCCTGGAGGAATGCCTGGCCACTGTGGTTTAGGCGTTTTGAAGTTCTTGTGTGCTGGAGATGTGGCTGGGGTTTCTCTCAGAGCGGAGGCAAGTAATTGCAATCCAGAAATACATTGCCGCTTGGCTGCCTCTTCTCTATTATTGTACACCTTGAAGGCAAGGTTAATTAAGTCCTGTTGTGGGGTTTGAGGGCGGAATCTAATTTTTGGAGCTTTTTCTAATGTTGGGAGTGGATTGGGTAATAAAATACATATTGAGAATAAGATGGCCTTCTGGTCCCTCTGGGTCTAGGGCGGTAAAGCATCTAAGGGTTGTTGCCAAACCAGCCACGGACTGGGCTGGGTTTTTATATTTGATGAAAAAGAGCCTAAACGCTAACCAATTTGGGAGAGGTCAGATAAAGAAAAAAGGAGCATTAATCTTGACTATGCCTTCAGCTCCGGCCACCTCTCTAAAATGAAATTGTTGGGCAGGTCGGGGAGAGCTACTTACAGAAAGAAACTGTAAGCCAGACTGGGTGTGAAGAGGTGAGGTGATAGAAGCATTATAGGGTGGGAGAGTGGAGGTTGAGGAAGAATTGGGACCTGGCTCGGCCTGGTGAGGAGCAGCCTGGGGAGGAGGGGCAAGGTCAGATGGATCTGTAGAAAAAGAGGATTCAAAGGACTCAGAGCTTGGGGTGGAGACTGAAGGAACACATAGGAGAGAAAGAAGAAATATTTGGCACGAGTTGCAATGGGAGCAGAGACTAGGGAGGGACCGATGTGTAAAGAATGCCTGGACATCAGGCACCTCAGACCATTTGCCCATTTTACAACAAAAATTATCTAGATCTTGTAGGATAGACAAATCAAAAGTGCCATTCTCTGGCCACTTGAAACTATTGTTGAGTGTGTATTGGGGCCAAGTGGTATTACAGAAGAAAATAAGATGTTTAGGTTTTAGGTCAGGTGTTAGTCGAAGGGGTTTTAGGTTTTTAAGAACACAGGCTAAGGGAGAAGAAAGGGGAATGGAGGGCAGAAGGTTGCCCATAGTGAAGGAGGTGAGTTTAAAGAGAAAAGTAGAGACACAGAGAAGGTGGGGGTGAGTAGCCGTGGGCTGTAATGTGGGTGAGCAGCCAAAGCAGGTGTCCCCACAACTGACTTGTCACCAAGGGAATGTGGGTGAATGACCAAGGCAGGCATCCTCACGGTGATCAGACACCAGTGGAATGTGGGTGAATGATTGAATGATCAAGGCTGGCGTCCCAGCAGTGATCAGACACCAATGGAATGTGGGTGAATGATCAAGGCAGGCATCCCTGTGGTGATCAGACACCAATGGAATGTAGATGAATGATCAAGGCAGGCATCCCCGCTATGATCAGACACCGAGGGAAGACCATCTTCCCATATCCGTGACCGACGTCGGAGTTTTTGAGTTCACGGATAAAATGTGTCTCCTTTGTTTCCACTAGAGAGGAAAAAGAACTGGAATTGGAAGAACAGGGAGATTGAAGGGTAGCGAGAGAAGCTGGAGAAGAGTGAAGAGACTGCTTACCTGATTTGAAATTGGTGAGATGTTCCTTGGGCTGGTCTGAGGACCTGAGGTTGTAGGTGGATTTCCTCACGGAGTGAGGGTGAGGACAGGGGGCTGGTCTCCTGGAGCAGTCCCCCTGTCCCAGGTCTTCGGCACCAAATGTTATGTGTGTCCACGTGAAGAGACCACCAGACAGGCTTTGTGTGAGCAATAAAGCTTCTTAATCACCTGGGCATAGGCAGAATGAGTCCAAAACAGAAGTCAGCAAAGGGAGATAGGGGTGGGGCAGTTTTATAGGATTTGGGTAGGTAGTGGAAAATTATAGTTAAAGGGGGTTGTTCTCTTGCATGCAGGTGCAGCAGTCGCAAGGTGCTCAATGGGGAGCTCCTGAGATTCATTGTCCGGGAAAAGGAATGTCACAGGGTCAATTGATCAGTTAGGGTGGGGCAGGAACAAATCACAATGGTGGAATGTCATAAGTTAAGGCAGCAACTGGCTATTTTCACTTCTTTTGTAGTTCTTCAGTTGCTTCAGGCCATCTGGATGTATATGTGCAGGTCACAGGGGATATGATGGCTTAGCTTGGTCTCAGAGGCCTTACACTCCCTAACTCATCTTATGAGGCCAGCATCACTCTGATACCAAAGCCTAGCAGAGGCACAACAAAAAAAAAATTTTAGGCCAATATGCTTGATGAACATGGGTGCAAAAATCCTCAGCAAAATACTAGCAAACTGGATCCAGCAGCATATCAAAAACTTAATCCACCACAATCAAGTAGGCTTTATTTCTGGGATGCGAGGTTGGTTCATCACCCACACATCAATAAATGTGATTCACTACATAAACAGAACTAAAAGCAAAAACCATGTGATAATCTCAACAGACAGAAATGGCTTTTGATGAAATTCAACATCCCTTCATGTTAAAAACCCTCAACACACCAGACATTGAAGAAACATTCCTCAAAATATTGAGAGCTATGTATGACAAACCTGCAGCCAACATCATACTACATGGGCAAGAGCTGGAATTATTCCCCTTGAGAACCAGAACAAGACAAGGATGTCCCCTCTCATTACTCCTATTCCAAATAGTACTGGAAGTCCTAGCCAGAGCAATCAGGCAAGAGAAATAAATCAGGCAAGAGAAAGAAATAAAAGTCATCCAAATAGGAAGAGGGAAAGTCAAACGATCTCTCTTCAGAGATGATATGATTATATACCTAGAAAACTCCACTCTCTGCCAAAAGGCTCCTAGATCTGATAAACGATTTCAGAAAAGTTTCAGAATACACAATGAATGTGCAACTATTAGTAGCATTTATATACACCAATAACATCCAAGCTGAAAGCCAAATAAAAATGCAATCCATTTACCATAGCCACAGAAAGAATGAAATACCTAGGAATACAGCTAACCAGGGAAGTGAAAGATCTCTGCAATGAGAATTAAAAAACACTGCTGAAAACCAGAGATAACATAAACATATGGAACAGCTTTTCATGCTCATGGATAGGAAGAATCAGTATTGTTAAATGGGCATACTGCCCAAAGCAATTTACAGATTCAATGGTACTACTAGTGTGAAAGGAAAATGTCTTGAGCCCCCCAAATCACTAAGGAAAACTCAAGCTGGAAACCGCTTAGGGCAAACCTGCCTCCCATTCTATTCAAAGTCAACCCTCTGCTCAGTGAGAGAGAATCATATCTAATTACCTCCTTTGGAAAGGCTAATCAGAAACTCAAAAGAATGTAATCGTTTGTGTATCACCTAGTGTAACCTGGGAGCTCCCTCTCTGCTTTGAGTCTTCTTTCCTTTGCTTCAAGTTGTCCCACCTTTCCAGACCAAACCACTGTACTTCTTACATATATAGATTGATGTCTCATGTCTCCCTAAAATGTGTAAAACCAAGCTGTGCCCTGACCACCTTGGGCACATGTCATCAGGACTTCCTGAGGCTGTCACAAGTGCTTCCTCAACCTTGGCAAAATAAACTTTCTAAATTAATGGAGACCTGTCTCAGACTTTCTGGGTTCACACTAGCAATCTACCAATAACATTTTTCACAGAATTAGAAAAAAAATGATTCTAAAATTTATATCAAACAGCAACAACAAAAAAGCCTGAATAGTCAAAGCAACCCTAAGCAAAAACAAACAAACAAAAAACACAAAACCAAACACACACACACACACACACACACACACACAAAACAAAGCTGGAGGCATCACATTACCTGACTTCAAGCTATACTGCAAGGCTACCATAATTAAAACAACATGGTACTGGTACAAAAACAGACTCATAGATCAATGGAATCAGTTAGAGAACCCAGGAATAAAGCCTCACACTTACAGTAATCTGATCTTTGACAAAGCCAACAATAATAAGCAATGGGGAATGACTCTGTATTCAGTAAATGGCGCTGAAAAAACTGGACGGCCATAATCAGAATATCGAAGCTGGACAACTACTTTTCACTATATACAAAAATCAACTCAAGATGGGTTAAAGACTAAACTGTAGAACCTAAAAGTGTAAAAATCCTAGAAGAAAACCTAGGAAATGCCATTCTGTACATCGGCCCTGACAAATACTTTATAATGAAGACTCCAAAAGCAATTGCAACAAAACAAAAATTCACAAGTATGACCTAATTAAACTAAAGAGCTTCTGCACAGCAAAAGAAACTATCAACAGGATATGCAGACAACCTATAGGATGGGACAAAATATTTGCAAAGTATATCTGACAAAAGTCTAATATCCAGAATCTATAAAGAACTTAAATCAACAAG
Source organism: Homo sapiens (assembly GCF_000001405.40). NCBI lineage: Eukaryota > Metazoa > Chordata > Mammalia > Primates > Hominidae > Homo > Homo sapiens. The sequence goes on from NT_167249.2 coordinate 564,405, forward strand.
CAAAGAAAAGGGAATGCTTATACACTACTGGTGGGAATGTAAATTAGTTCAGCCACTGTGAAAAGCAGTCGGAGATTTCTCAAAAAACTTAAAACATAACTACTATTTGACTCAGCAATCCCATTACTTATATATCCAAAGGAATATAAATCATTTAGCCATAAAGACATATGCATGTATATGTTAACTGTAGCACTATTCACAATAGCAAAGACATGGAATCAACTTAGATTGCCATCAATGGTGGACTGGATTTAAAAAATGTGGTTGGCTGGGTGTGGTGGCTCACGCCTGTAATCCCAGCACTTTGGGAGGCCGAGGCGGGCAGATCAGGAGGTCAAGAGATCGAGACCATCCTGGGCAACATAATGAAACCCAACTACTAAAAATTAAAAAATTAGCTGGGAGTGGTGGTGCGCACCTGTAGTCCCAGCTACTTTGGAGGCGGAGGCAGGAGAATCACTTGAACCTGGGAGGCAGAGGTTGCAGTGAGCCAAGATTGCGCCACTGCACTCCAGCCTGGTGACAGAGTGAGACTTCGTCTCAGAAAAAAAAATAAATGTGGTTCATTTTTGAGGGATAGTTTTCCTGGATATAAGACTCTTGGTTCAACGTTCTTTTAGAACTTTGGCTGTCATCCCCACTGCCTTCTAGTCTCCAGTATTTCTGATGAGAAGTCAGATGATAATCTTACTGAGGTTCTCTTGTACATGATGAGTCATTTTCCTCTTGCTGCTTTCAAAACTGTCTCTTTGACTCTAGCTTTTAGTGTTCCTATTATGATGCAACTGAATGTGAATATTTTTACATTAATCCTATTTAGAGAAAGGAGCTTTTTAGATATATAATTTTTTTCATCAACTTTAATGTTTCAGCAATTAATTCTTTGAATATTTTTTTAACTTGCTTCTCTCTGCTCCTTTGATACTTCCATTATGTGTACTTTGGTGTCATCAGTGGTATTCCATACTTGTCTGAGGATCTGTTCATTTTATTTTTTTCTTGTTGCTCAGATTGCATAATCTCTATCAGCCTATCTTCAAGTTCACTGATTCTTTCTTCCATCAGTTCAAATCTACTGTTGAGCTCCTCTAGTGAAGTTTTCACTGTGCTTTTCAACTCTAAAGTTTCCATTTGTTTCATTTTTAAAATACTTTATCTCCCTTTTTAGTAGTCTCTATTTGATGAGACACTCTTATCATACCTTCTTTTACTTCTTTAAGCATGATTTTATTTCCTTGAACATATTTATATTGGTTGTTTTGATCTATGATAAATCTGACATTTGGGGCCTCTCACTGGCAGTTTCTATTGTCTGCTCGTTTACTTGTGTATCAGTCATGCTTTCCTATTTTTTTACAAGTCTCATAGTTTTTTTGTTGAAAACTAGACATTTGAGTAATATAATGTTACTAAATTAAAACTAGACATTGTAGTAACTTTGTATACTGACTCCCCGTCCTGGGTCTTGTTTTATTTTTTGTTTGTTAGTGACTTGGCCAGGCTATTTTAGTAAATTTCCTCCACAGTGTGAAGCCTCTGGTGTTACCCTTCAGAGAGCACAGCCTTGGGCATGGACATAAACAACCTGGGATGAGAATAGTTTGAGCAGGGCTTTGGATGTCTTGTCTTTGCAATGTCATTTGCTGATTTTTGTTAACCAGTCTTCGTCATTTGGTATTATACTCAGCTGGGAGGATCCATTAATTGCTGGCTGGGTGCTCTATTGGTTTTGATAATGCCCTGGGGACATAAATTGCTCCACAGTGTGATCTAATTTTGCAGGGGTAGTTCTTGAGGTCACTTTTTGAGATTTGTTCTGACCCCAGAAAAGCTCTTTCCCTGGTTGTCACTGGTAAACTCACTGTTTTATGGCCTAGCTTGTTGTCTCATAGAGTCTCAGCCTTGTCTTAACTCCTTAGCACCAAATATTCATTGTTTTTTAATGTACCCTTAGGCTTGAACTTTCAACACTCTGCTTCAAATACAGTCAGTTTCTTTGGACAGAGCTTTTGAATGTTCTGTTCTTCCCCTGTCCCTAGACAAAACCTTCTATGCCACTGTTCCAAGGGCAGTGCACTGAAGAGTGGTAGCTTTTACTTTTCTTTGCTTGCCTCTCCCAGTGTTGGACCTCTGTTTATGAGTGAGCTAGGGCAAAGGTGATAAGAGTTCCAGTATTCTTGGCTCAACATGCTTGGCATAGGGTATCCACCTTATGTATGGAGTGCAGGAAGGTAGCCCCAGTCTTTTGTTTAGATCTCTGGGAATGTAGCCTTGACAACTCAGAAGTGAAAGTGATAAGAAATGCTGGCATTCTGCCCCTCTCAGTGAGATACTATATTCCTTGACTGGGAGCTGAGGGGAAAGGAATCCTTTTCTTCTTGGCCACACCTGTCCAGAGTGGAGCTTCCATCACACTGAGCTGGGTAGGAAAGCAGGCTGTGGCTCAAGTGCCATAGACTCTTGCTCTTCTTAGTGAGATTTAGTAGAGTATCTTGAATAAGTATTACTTCATTTGTTGTTTTCTCTTAAGACAATTTTCAGAGACTTGGAATTAAAAAAATTGTATCAGTCATGGTTGTTTTACAGGGCAATGAGCCACACCACCATTATGGAAGTGCCATTATAATTTATGAACATTTCTTTAAAAATCATAACTGATTAAAAGTATTTATAAATCAAAATATGAACATGTTATTATTTTTCAGATATTATCAAAACAAAATTTGAGAAAAAGGATATATCATAAATTTTAATAGAAAATTCAATGATGGATAAACCACGTGGTTCGATAGGACCCAAACGAAACCATTAATATACATAGCAGAAAAATACTGCTTTTCTTAATAAAAATAGCTTTTGACTTTTTATTTCCCCAAAATTAAAAATGTTTCTACAAAAAATGGGCAAATATCCTAAAAGACATTTTGGAAAAAAAGAAATAAACACATATGAAAATAATTTCAATCCTATTCTAATTAGTAAGTTGAAATTGAAAAGTTGAGGCATTTTTTCGTCCTGAAATGGCTTATATTTAAGTGACTGTTAGGAACCAACCATGTTGCAAATGTTTAGAAAATGATCAGTTTCATAATCTATGTGGAGAAGGATAAATTCTTTTTGTAAGACAATTTGCTGTTATCTTTCACAATAAAAATGTACATAAAAATATTTTGAACTAACTTTGATTAATTTCATTTCTAGGAGTTTATTCTGCATGCATCCTAAAATATTTGTGAAACATTACTTTCATGTAAAAAATTGGAAACAGCACACATGATCATCAAGAACGAGCTAGTTAACTGAATATTATATACATTTAACATAATTACACAAGTTTGCATATACTCATATAGAAACAGGGTCAAATTATATTCGTAATTAAAAGTGGTAGAGCATTGAATATATCGTATTTCATTTGAATGATATAATGCAGCATAATTTGTCTTACTGCGACATTATTGGTTTTTGGAGGGTGATGTGCCTCATGTTAGAAGAGTTACATATTTAATTTTCACTTTATACTCTAATAAATATATTCTTTATATATGTAACAAAATTTGAATTATTCAAAATAACTTAAAATTTGAAAATAATTAAGCAATTTATTTTGATTCTGTTACTTAGGTTTGACAAACAACATAGTAAAGGACATATCTTTTTATATAATTCCCAAAGCATTAATGTGATTAAAGGATGTGTGTTTTATCATATACAGTGTCTACCATTGTCTGAGGTGCTTTGATTCTACAACTTAAAACTTTCCAGCTGCTGCAGTTTCTGACTGCACAATATTATACTCACAAAATTAAAATCATTACCAAATGATTTTCTTACAATATGTCAAACAATTTAGTGAGTTAAAAATAGATGTGATTTAAAAAAGTAAAATAAAAAAAGATTCTTGAAAAATATGCATTTTGGTTTAGATCCTTGTCTTAGTCAAATTAAAAAAGAAAACAAAACCTATTAGAGTCTACTAGATCAATGCACTCTTTGTGGCTTAAATTTGTTTGTGTAAGTTCTACTACTAGCTATTTACTGCTAAACTCACTTTCTCACTAATGGTTTGCTCATAAATTTTTTCTTCTAACAAAAAACGTATCAGTTCAAATAAAAAGATGAGAAGTTTTCTTTTCTCAGATGTTTGGTTATTCTTCTTGAAAGCAGACAATTCACTATAAATTACTTTCAAGGGCTTTGGTTTCCTATATTTTTACTGCATTTCTCCTCAACTTCCAAGTTAAAACTAAGATACAACTTGACATTTATTTTTCTGAAGCATCATGTGCATTACGGCTTTTATATTCTAAAGGTGTGAGAAAGGAAAAATGGAACACACATTGGGAATGTTGACGCTGGATTGTGCTTTTATCTGTAGTTATTCATGTTTCAGGCAGTTCATTCCTACTTTCTGAGAAATTGATGAGTTGTTGTGTTTGTCCTTGCTATCTGTCTTTCTGGATAATGGGAAAATTCTCAAGGATTCTGAATAAGAGACTCATATTTGATGTTTAAAGTCAAAGGAGGAGCAAGGGAGATTTTCACATAAGCAGTTATTTACCAGAGGGAAGGGCAGGGCCCAAGGGATCTCATTATGAAGTGAATGGAATTACTGGCATTGATGATCTCACTTTGTTCCTATCCCAAAAGATTCTGTTACTTTAGATTTTAACTTCTCCCAATGCTATGTGAAGCAATTAAAACGTTTCAGATAAATTTCATAGTAGTTCGTACAGCAAAATTACTTTTAGAGTTTTTTCTCTTCAAGGAAATACACAATAAAATAATTAACTGTTCAGAATGAAAGTGAACTAGCTAAAACTCAACCCAATGTCTTTCATTTTCAGACACTAGGAATTTGTCAAAGCAACCAGATCACCAGGGACTAGCAACAATATCTAATAACCCCCTTCTTCAGGGATGATTAGCTAGTTAAGTGCCTGGAATGTCTCTGTAGACAAGACTTGAGGGAAAAAGCTTTAATATTATGTTGCTTCATTGCCAGATCTATTCATAAAGGGATTATTCTACCTCTCAGATGAGAAAATCTGAATCTGCAAACTGGCTTAATATGGAAACTGGGTAAAAAGCCATGAATCCCTATTATATTGTTTCAAGTTATGTTTCTGTCTCCACACCTAGAATTTTTTCTGCTAATATACTCCAGCTAACATCTTAGTAGGTATCTTAGTCCATTTGGGTTGCTATAACAAAATACCATAAACTGGGTAGCTAATAAACAAAAAAAATTTACTTATCATAGTTCTAGAAGTTAGGAAGTCTGACATTAAGGTTCTGGCAGATTGGTGTCTGGTGAAGGCCCCTTTATGGTTCACAGATGGTGTCTTCTCACTGTGTCTTCACATGGTGGAAGAGACAAAGCAGCTCTCTGAGGCCTCTTCTATAAAGGCATGAATTCCATTCAAGAAGGCTGTGCCCTCATGATTTAATCACCTCCCAAGGGCCTACCTGCTAACACCATCACACTGGTGATTAGGTTTTAACATGTTTTGGGGGACACAGACATTCACAATACAGTGGTAGGTTACCAAATATTGTGTTTTTAAGTACCGTTTGATAAACTGTGTATCACTACAGGTCCCTGTAGGTCACAATACCCTAGTCAATGTGACTTACTTGTAGTAACTACTTCCACTTTGTCTATGATGGTGTCACTTCCTGGCATTTAATTTTCCAGAATTATCATTTTTCTCAAGACCATATAATCCAATTTCAGTTTCATTCCCCACCATCAGCTCTGCACCAAAGAATTCAGATGCCACAGAGCATTTTAAGACCACTGATGCCCTCCTCACTGATCCATTTCTTAATGCTATAGGGAAGAAAATGTCTTCCAATCTTATAGCACAGGGTCTTATGTACAGAGGGCAGATGGCCATACTGTATTAGATTACAAAATCTCTATTGACTACTGATTCCTTATTTTACAAGGTACTGTGGAAATTCTAGCTTTTCAACCTCATTAGCTATAGGCTATCTCTGAGTTCAAGCTTCAGTGAGCTAATGTGAAAGAAGATCAATAACACTTTCAGGAGTTTGAGCCAATGCTTGTATCCTGTGCTCTGGGTGATAGCACTCATGTCATTAAATTCAGTTCATTCAAGCTCTGTATTTCATATTCCTTGACATCCACCCCCAAACATACTCTTAAAGTTCTCATCTATATCGTAAGAAACTGCATATCTTTTTTTGTTAATAGACCATGTTATTATGGAGCAGTATTTGTGTTTAACCGTATCTCTTTGTTGTTATAATTTTCCCTGATGATTGGTGAAGTTGGGCACATTTTCATGTGTTGGCCATATGGCTATCCTCTTTTGTGAAGTGATTGTTCTATCACGTTGTTTGTGTTTTTTCTTACTGATTTGTAGAAATTCTTTTTATATTCTGAATAGTTCTTACACACACACACACATTGCCTCTCTTAATGGACCTCCTTTATATATTTGATTTGTTAATATTTAGGGATGTTTGCAACTGTGTTTATGAAAGATACTGATAAACATTTTTTATTTTTTTGTAAATCCTTGTAATGTTTTTAAGTCTAGCTTATGCTGGCCTTATAAAAAGAATTAATGAATACAAAATGTTTACTTACTACCAACTTATATAAAAAAGATTAGTGAAGTTGTTGAATGAACACAAAAATTTAAAACTAAGAATGATTTATTAACATTGTAACCATATCAACATCCATATCCAATCTAGTCCTACATTTTATTTTAGTAGCAAAATTTTGAGAAAGTCCAGATTCCTGCAGCAAATAGCTACAAATAGAAGTATATTTTAGACCAGTAACCTAATATGTCTTAAAATAGGTAGAGATGGCAGGAGTATTTGGAATCTAAACAAAAATGTTTTAATCTTAATAGGAACAGATGAATGGTGAATTATAGCCAAAACTCATAGTTAACACATGAATTAATGAATTTTTGTTATAGTATAATAGTTTAATTATATTTAAAATTATTAAATAATATAAATTATAATCTGAATTTAATCTTTATAAAATGCTCCCCCGTACCCCAGTTGACATAACCCTTAGACTTTACGGAACCTGTTTTGTTGCCACAACTGTAGATGAATCATCCAAGATAATAAGTAGTGTTTTTGAAAGACATTTTTAATTTTTTAAAGAATGAACCCTTGACAATGAGGGACATTGATACTAAAATACAAGCAAAATTTTTAGGTATTTTCTTTTTCAGATGATGACTACTACTAAAATAAGTTGACTATAATTTAAAGGTTAGACAAAGATAATTTCTTTATTGGGAATTTCTTTTTTTATTTTTATTTTTTGTTTGTTTTTGATTCGGAGTCTCGCTCTGTCGCCTAGGCTGGAGTGCAGTGTAGCGATCGCGGCTCACTGCAAGCTCCGCCTCCCGGGTTCACGCCATTCTCCTGCCTCAGCCTCCAGAGTAGCTGGGACTTCAGGTGCGAATTTTTTGTATTTTTAGTAGAGATGGGGTTTCACCATGTTAGCCAGGAGGGTCTCGATCTCCTGACCTTGTGATCCCCCTGCCTCGGCCTCCCACAGTGCTGGGATTACAGGCGTTAGCCACCGTGCCCGGCCAGGAATTTCTTGTAAAAAGATGTTAGTGACCTATTGTGTCTCCAGAACCTTTTTCTTTTCCAATAAGCCTTTTCATGGCCCACTTGAACTCCTTATTCCTTAGTGGGATGGGTTCAAGGTGGGAGTAACAATGGAGTAAAATATATGGAGAAGTTTGCCCTCATCCTGAGATGGACTGTTTCCTGGCTCTATATACATATATCTAACAGTCCCATAGAAGATGGATACCACAATGAGATGGGAGAAACAGGTCCCAAATGCTTTTTGTCTTCCTGCTGCAGACTTGATCTTGAGTACAGCCACAGCAATGAAGCCATATGACACAAGAATGAGAAGAAGTGATGCAAGGAAAATGAAAACAACAACAACAACACAATGCAAATAAGGTTTCTGACAGAGCAGGAGCATCACCATCTTGGACAAGCCCCTTATTCTATAGTTCATTTTAATAAAAAACCACCTAATCCAAAGGGCCTCAGCCTAATGGCTAAGGTCAGCACGACCATAAACCACAAATAACATCCCAACCAGAAACCTTCCAAACTCCTCCCCGACCAGAGTCATGCTAGCCTCTAGATAAGCCCTCTCAAGCTGGGAAGATGCTAGCCCAGAGATAACCCCCCTCCAGGCCAGAAAGATGTCTGCCCCAAGATAACCTCCCCTCTTCCCAGAGAGATTCCAACCCCGCCATAAACTTCTCCACACACATAAACATTCCAAGCTTGTAATAAGCCCCCTCACCCTAAAACCAATATATGTTCTTAGCCCCCTCACCCTAAAACCAATATATGAAATCAGCCAGGAGTGCTGTCAGGTTTTAATTAAGGAAAACCTGTCTTTAACTGCCAGCCACGTTTCGTGTTTCTTTCTTCTTTCTTTAACTCTTACAGTTTCCTCCATGACTGTGGTAGCCCCACATGCAATTTTGACCATTGCAGATATTTCACAAAAATAGTGATCCAGGTGGTGGTCTCCGCATCGAGGAAGACTCACAGGACAGGGGGAAAGTATCATGCAATTAGTGACACCAATTAACCAGGTCATGGCCACCAGGCCTTGACAGAGTTGGGGGTTCATTATGGTCATATAGTCCAGAGGCTTGCAGACAGCATTGAATGGGTCATATGACATCACAGCCAGAAGCATACATTCAACCGTGCATAGCGTCACATTAGTGAAAAGTTGAAAAGCACAGCCACCAAAAGTGATTTTCTTGTCTTTACCCCAGGCATTGACCAACATCTGTGGGACTATATTTGTGGTGTAACAAAGATCCAAGATAGCCAGATTTCTAAGAAAGAAATATATGGGGGTTTGGAGATGTTTATCCAGTAATGGCAGCAGGATAAGGACCATATTTCCCATCAAAGAAATTGCATAGAAGAAAAAGACAACCCCAGAGATGATCATCTCCAGCTGAGGCTTCCCAGGGAACCCAAGGAGCATAAGCCAACCAAAGTAACTATCATTGATCATTTTTGCTATTTTCTGAATATCAGCTGTGAAAATTTAAAAAATAGTCAACATTTTGGAAGCCATAATGAATATATTTAGATATAATATTAGCAGTATATATAGCTAGGAAAAGTACATAATGGGATTGAAAGAAAATATAAGTATTTTATATTTCACCATTGTTCTAATGTTTTATCTGTTTATCCAACTAAGTGTAAAATTTATACCCAGGGCAATTTGCCTTACAAGGTCTATATTCTCAATTACATTGTATATTTCTATACCAAGGCAAAAAAAAAAAAATCTACAAAAATCTCAAAGGTGAATCATGAGCAAAATGGCTAAATAAAACTGGATGGATCTCCCCTTATTAAAAAGGATATTACGAAGGGGTTAGAAATCTGTTACAAGTTATCACCTCCTTTAGCCAAGGGTTCATAGAGAATGCAGGTTTTATACCTTTTATGCCTTTTTTCTAATATTTAAGCTGAACAGTTTTAATCCTGCTGTCCACCTTCACTCTGCTATGTAAATCTTCTGACCTTAAATTTTTAAAATTCAAACTTTTTTCTTTCATCTCAAAACTTGTATTTCCAAATATTATTTGCCTTTCCTTTCCAACTCCCTTGAGACAGCCAGGTGGGAGGTGTTCCCTGGAGAAACTCCAACCAGCCTGCCCACTGAGGTGGAGCCTCCAGAAGTTCATGATGTTTGCCACAGGAAGGAGCCTGGCTCCTCCTTTTCCTGTGTGGAACCTGGGATTCAAACACCTGGTCGGGAAGCACTGTAGCAGGGACTCTGGCCTTCCAAGAGCCCGTGTTTCCCCCTTTACACCCAATAAAATCCTGTCTTACTCACCATTTAAGTTGTGAGTCTGAATTTTCATGGCCATGGGACAAAGAACCCCCTTTTTAGCTGAACTAAGGAAAAGTCCTGCAATATTTTTTGGCACACAATGTGAGGGTTTGAGAAGCAATGAGTGAGGTGCAAACTCACAGTTCCACATGGCTGGGGAGGCCTCACAATCATGGCAGAAGGTGAAGGAGGAGCAAAGTCACATCTTACATGGCATCAGGCAAGAAGAGTGTGCAGGGAAAATTCCCTTTATAAAACCATCAGATCTTGTGAGACTTATTTACTATCACGACAACAGCATGGGAAAGACCCATTCCCATGATTCAGTTACCTCTCACTGGGTCCCTCCCATGCTCCCATGCAGGAATTATGGGAGCTACAACTGAAGATGAGATTTGGGTGGGGACACAGCCAAACCACATCAAACACTGAAATAGAAAAAAAAAGACTTGAAACAAACCCACAGATCTGTGGAAATTTATTTATGACAAAGACAACACTACAGAAGAATAGAGAAAAATTATAATTTTCAATATATGGTGCTGGACCAATGGGATATTAATTAAAAAAATAAATTTGTCCCAACTTATACTGTGTATAAACATCTATTCCAGATAGATTGTAGATTTAGATGTGAAAGGGAAAAAGTATCTTCTAGAATAGGGTACGGAAACTTTTTTGGAAAGGCCAGATAGTAAATATTTTAGGCATTGTGTGTCATCAGGTCTCGGTCACAACTACTCAACTCTGTAGTTGTAGTGCTAAAGCAGCCATAGACAAAAGTAAGTAACTGGGTGTGGCTGTGTTCCTATAAAACTTTATAAAACAGACACAAGTGGCCCACTGGCTACAGTTTCCCAACTCCTGTTTTAGAAATCAATATGAAATAATAACTTTATGGTATTATTAGGTATTATTAGGAAGAGGAATTATTTCTGTAACTGGTCTTAAAAATCACTGACAGGTAAAAAATGATGAATACACTTCAATCATTGAAACTACAAAATTCTGTTCATCAGGTGACACCATTAGGAGTCAAAAGACAAATCACAGAAAAGGAAGAGATATTTTTAGTGCTTGTGCTTGTTAAAAGGCATATCCAGAACATATAAATACTTCATATCAATAAGAAAAATAGTAAAAAATTGCAAAAACCTGAATAGATAAATCTCAAAGGGTAAACATAAGTGGCCAATGCATTTGTGAAATGGATGGTGCTCGTTTGCTTCAATAATCATAAAAGCAAAAATTATACCCATCATGCACTCACATCAGATTGACTAAAATTAAAAAGAAACCTAAGAAAACCAAATATTGATGAAGATGTAGAGCAATGGAAACACATACACTGATAAGTGTTTAATATGGTGCAACCACTCTGGAAAATTTTGGCAGTGTTTCAAAAAACCTGAGTACAAATATACAATGAGGATATATATACATATGCAAGATGAGCCAAAATACATGCATAAAATATTCTAAGCAGAATTGTTTCTGAGGTTTGAAAACGTGAAAAACTATAATTTTTATGAAGACAGAATAAATAAATAAGTTGTATATGTATATTATGAAGTATTTACAGCTGTGGAAATAAGTGAAGTACAGAAATGCTTAATGCATAGATGAATCTTAAAAATATAATGTTATTTGAAAGAATTCAAGTACAACAGAATCCATGTATATAAAAATTAAAAAAATTAAACCATATTATTTGGAGATGCATAGTTAGGTAAGACATCTGTAAAGGAAAGGAAAAGTGTGAAATCTATATATGTAAGAATAATAATTAATGTTGAGAGAGAAGGATAGGGATTATAACCATGAAGCGGCACTTTGGCCACCTCTGAGTACATTTTTCTAAAACTTGACTTGGGTGGGCTTTTGGGTGTTCCATCACAGTGTATTGTACAATAATTCTTTAAGGTGTACATTTATGTTCTTTTGATCTGAAAATTTCTCCTGTCTGCTTTTGGTAACTTCCTTTTCTCTGTTTTCTCTCTCTTCTATTTTTTGAAAGATGTTGGAATTCCTGGAAAATGTGGCGTTCTTAATAGTCATAAAAGTACTAAATATATACTGCAAAATGCTAGGTGTGTCTCTGAGATTTAGGACAACTTCTGAAAGTACTGTCATTAACGGAGAAGCTGGAATAAAAAGAAAAGTCACTCCAGAGCTTAAGTAGTTCCTACAAGTATCTCAATTTATGATGCTTCAAAACAGCTATTGAAACAATTTTACTTTAACTTATCTAATGGAGTATTTAGACTTCAAAATCCTATTAAGTTCATTTTTCATCCTCAAGAACTACAAAAATATCAAAATCAAATATTCTAGATTTTTCATTTTATTTAAGTTTTCTACTTTCTCAAGGGAGAAAGAGGGTATAAGGAATAAAATTAATCACTCTAGCTTTTTTAATAAAAAGTCTTTTTGGCATGAATGGAATTATGTGACTGTATAAATAACTAGGACATGAGCAAGAGATGGAGCAAGAAAAAGTGATATTGGATATTGGATCAGAAACATAAAGGAAGTTTTCAAAAATTCTTTTTCAAGTTACAAGTTGGTAACATAGCTCTGAACTATCCCATGAATCAACATTTATCTTCAAGACAAAAATCAAATTTATCTTCAGTCAAAATATGGAAAGGATAATAACTCAACAAAAATGAGAAAGAAATGCATTTAAAAACACACTTCAGAAAAAGACAGAAAGACCATTTCAATAGCCAAATAAATCACCTTTCTATGTGTCAGTTTTCTTGAAGCACTCAGAGAAAAAATGTAGAACATCTAAAACCAGGTGACATGGCAATACCTCCATGCTCATCCCCAAAATAAGTAGTAAAAACTTGGAAGGCCAAGTGGGAAAGAAAAAAGCATTATCTTAAAGATGATTATTGGAACTGATAAAAATATTTTTCTTTTGTGATCACAAAAATTGAGCTCCTTGAGTAATTATCTAAGCAGAGAAAGATAGGGGGAAATTACTGTGGTTAATTAACATGAGATCTTTTCAAAGATGATTGATAACTAGAACTCTTGGTCTTCTTGGTTAACGACTAGCTTTGCTGCTGTCATCTTCAGGCTGGAGATTTGCCTGTGTAAAAATATTCCTGGGACTGGTTGGAGCAAAAGTGTTGTACCTTAAAATAGAGGGCAATGAAAACAGCTTTTAATCTCCTTAAATTAATGACAATATTTAGTTAACATAATCAAAGGAGACTATTAGAGTTAAATTGGTCAATATCAATATAATTGTAACATATATAATCCAAAAGAAATCAGTGCATAGCATGTTATTTTTAGTGTTGGCACTTTAGTTTATAATTTCATTTTAAATATGAGTTTTGTACATATACCAATCATCATGGATTAAGTATTCAATAAATACATTCGGCTTAATTATAATTTTTATTATAATTTTATTATATTTTTAATGGATATTATCTTTATCTCAGGTGTAGACAATTTATTTACAAAATAAATTGTCTACATTTTAGATTGGGAAGATCAATTGCCATATTAGAAATTGCTGGGAGGAAGAATCAATGTCCTCTTTTTTCCATGCAATCTTTTTCTTTTCCAGTTAGCCTCTTCATGGCCCCCTTGAACTCCTTATTCCTTACCGTATAAATTAATGGGTTCAAGCTGGGAGTAACAATGGAGTAAAATATACTGAGAAGTTTGCCCTCATTCTGATTTGGACTGTTTCCTGGCTGTATATACATGTATGTAACTGTCCCACAGAAGATGGATACCACAACGAGATGGGAGGAACAGGTCCCAAATGCTTTTTGTCTTCCTGCTGCAGACTTGATCTTGAGTACAGCCACAGCAATGAAACCATATGACACAAGAATAAGAAGAAGAGGAACAAGAACTATAATCAGGCACATGGCAAATGTGGTTACCTCCATGGCTGTGGTGTCCACACATGCAATCTTGAATCTTGATCATTGCAGACATTTCACACACACAAAAAAGTGGTCTAGGTGGTGGTTCCTACATCGAGGAAGACTCGTGGCATAAGGGGAAGGTATGATGCAATTAATCACACCAACTACCCAGGAGATGACCACAAGGCCCTGGCAGAGTTGGAGGTTCATTATGGTCATATGATGCAGAGGCTTGCAGATAGCATTGAGTCGATCATATGACATCATGGACAGAAGGATGCATTCAACTGAGTACAGTGCCACATCAATGAAAAGTTGAAAGGCACACCCACCAAAGGTAATTCTTTTGTCTTTGCCCCAGATACTGACCAACATTTGTGGGACTATATTTGTGGTATAACAGAGATCCAAGATGGCCAAATTTCTAAGGAAGAAGTACATGGGGACTTGGAGATGGTCATCTAGGAAAGACAATAGGATGATGGCCATATTTCCCATGAAGGCAATAGTGTAGAAGAAAAAGACAACCCCAGAGATCATCATCTGAAGCTGAGGCTGCCCTGTGAATCCAAGGAGTATAAAACCACTGAAGTGGCTATCATTGATCATTCTGTTTTTTCTTAAGGGAAATCCATGTCATCATTTTGGTAAAGGGCAACGGTGTGATTTTCTTATTTATTTTGCATTGGGTTTGGTGAACTTCTCGGATTTATGGTGGTGTCATTAATTTTGGAAAATTCTCAACCATTATCTCTTAAGATTTTTTTCTGTTTATTTCTTTTTCTTATATTCTGGAGCTCCAAGTACTCATGTGTCAGAGGAGATAATATTATCCTACATAACTTGGATGCTTTTTCTTTTTTCTCTTTGGGTTGAAGTTTGGATAATTTCAATTGACTTGTATTTCAGTTCATGAATTCTTTCCTCTACTGAGTCCAGCCTATTGTTAAGCCCACCAAATTAATTATTTATTTCTTATATTATTTCTGGTATGTTTTTTTTTATATCCAACATTTCCATTTGGTTCTTCTGTACAATGCTAATCTCTTTGTTGAGATCTCCCCTTTGTTCATAAATCTTGTCTGCCTTTACCAGCGAAATGTTAAAACATATTTAAAAAATTCTTATCTGATGATTCTAATGTCTGAACCATGTCTGGATATACTTCACTTGAATATTTCCTCTTTTTAGCTTCAAATGACTCCTGTTTCTTTCTTTTTCTTTTTTCTTTTTCTTTCTTTTTTTTTTTTTTTTTTTTTTTTTTGAGACGGAGTCTTACTCTGTTACCCAGGCTGGAGTGCCTGGGTGATCTCTGCTCACTGCAACCTCTGCCTCCCAGGTTCAAGTGATTCTCCTGCCCCAGCCTCGCTAGTAGCTGGAATTACAGGCGTGCACTGTTTCTATTTTTCTTGCTTGTTAGTGTGCCTCATAGTGTTTAATTTTTATTTTATGCCAGGCATTGTGTGTCTTGGTCAGCTTGGGCTGCTCTAACAAAATACCACAGGCTGGGTGGAATAAACAACAGACACTTATTTCTCAAAGTTCTGGAGGCTGGGAGGTTTAAGATAAAGGAGTAGGAGGTGCAGTTCCTGATGAGGCCCTACTTCTTGACTTGCAGACGGCTGCCTTTTCACTTGCTGTTCCCTCAAGTGGTAGGGAAAGAGTGTGCTCTTCCTTTTATGGTCCCTCTTCCTTTTATGAGGTCACTAATCCCCTTATGGAGGCCCACCCTCATGACCTGATTTAAACCTAATTACTTTCCAAAGGCCCCATCTCCAAATACCATCACATGGAGGGTTAGGGCTTCAACATATGAATTTTGGGGGTACACAGACATTCAATCCATAGCATTCTGCCTTTTGTCTCCCAAATTAATGTTATTCTTACACACACAAAAAAAATGATCTTATTTCAGTAGCCCCCAAAGTCTTAACTTATTCCAAGATCAACTCTAAAATTGGAAGTCCTGTCTCATCTAAATATCATCTAAATCAGATATAGGTGAGGCTCAAGATACGATTAATCCTGAGGAAAAATTCATCCCCAGTTATAAGTCTGTGAAACCAGATAAATTACACACTTCCAAAATACAATGATAGATTAGACATAGAATAGGCATTCTCATTCCAACACCTGGAAGAAAGAAAGGGGTGGCAGGTTCCAAGCAAATCTAAAATCTTGTAATGCAAATACCATTAGATCTTAAAGCTCAAGGATAATCTTTGGTTTCATAATTTGCCTTCTGGGTCTACTGGGATGACAGTCCCACTTTCTGGACAAACTGGGATAGTAGATAGTCGGACCTCTGTAGCTCTGCAGGGAAGGGGTCATGTCCTCATGACTCTTCATTGTACCCAAAAGGCTCTGGCAGCCACTCTGACACCAACTGCCCATTGAAACTGAGATGATAGCCCCAACCTTTAAATCTGAGGTGGCAGCCCAGATAATCTCTAAAACACCTTTAGGGTCTTTCTTCCCTTGTCTTGAAGAGTAATATCACACATTCACATCTGAATAGCTCTATGGTCCAGTCCCAAAGAATCTAAGAAGTCTGACAGACTTTCTTCATTTTATCCCATTCCCATCTCCTTCAGTTCAGACTGACAGTGTTTCTGCTTATATAATCCCGTAATCTCTTTATCGAGTGAGGGTCCAGCCACACCTTTGGTGGTTTTTTTTTTTTCTCAGCATGCTTTCTCATCTTTTGCAGTGTGGATAGGCTGAGAACTTTCCAATTTTTTAAGTTCCAGCTCCTTTTTTTTTTTAACAATTCCTTTTTTGATTCATTTATCTCTTTTTTTTTTCTTGCATCTTAGTAGAAGCAGTCAGGATGAACAAAGTGACTCCTTCAACACTTTGATTAGAAATGTCAGCTATGTTCACTGTTAATTTCATCACTTACTAGTTTTACATTCCACAAAACAATAAAACATGAACATAATTCAGCCAAGTTCTTTACCACTTTATAAAAAGAATCACTTTTTCTCAATTGTCCAATAGCTTATTCTTCATTTCTGTCTAAGCCTTCCCCAGAATGACCTTTACCATACATATTTCTGCCAACATTCTGTTTATAATTATTTATGTATTCTATAAGAAAATGGAAGTTTTTCTCCAGCAGTCTTATATTCTGTATAAGCCCTAAACAGAATAGCTATTATTGTGCATATTTATAGCATGCATCCCCAAATTCCTTAACTTCTACCCCTTTTCCAGTTTTAAAGCCACTTCTACATTTTCAGCTACATCCCACTCCTGGTACAAAAATATGTCTTAGCTCAGGATGTTATAACAAAATACCATAGCTTGGGTGGCTTAAACAACAGACATTTATTTCTCATAATTCTGGAAGCTGGAATGTCCAAATTTAAGGTGCCAGAAAATTTAGTTTTTGGTGAAGTCTCTCTTGCTGACAGACCTTTCACTGTATTCTCACATTGTGTAGATAAAACTCTGATCTTTCTTCCTTTTCTTATAAAAACACTAACCCTGACATGGGGGCCCCACTCTCATGACTGCATCTAAACCTAATTTAACTTCCCAAAGACTCTACCTCCAAATATCATCACATTGTGGTAAGTGCTTCAACATATAAATTTGGAGTGACACAAACAGTCCATAACAATTTGTAAAAAATACTTGTAGGGACAGAAATAAATAGTAAGTAGTATTTATCCTCAGGATAGGACACATTCCTTATTTATCAGGGTATGAGTATGGGGAACTCAGACTGTCTGATGTGTAGCTAAGCTTAAACCTGTTGTAAACTTGGTTAAATTCAGTTAACCACTGTCTTCAACTATTTTGAAGGAAGGGTGGGCCTGAATTCTGGTGAGAGTCCAGATAAGTCTTGATGTTTTATAGTGAGGCTACCAGCCTTTTGGACTACGGGAGATTTCTCTTTGCTTTATAGTCTGGCTGCCAGCCTTTTGGGTCAGTGGGGACTTCTATTTGCTTCCCAGTCCTGTCCCTAGCTTTCTGCCCTTTGAGGGCACTCCCAAACTTTGGAAGGACACTTCAGCACACATTATGAAAGCTTGTAGTGCATTGGAGTGAATTATCTTAGCTTTTCTGCTGCACTTGTGGCAAAATACCCATCCAAGTTTGCTCCTGTAGTGTTGAGAATATCTAGATAGTTTCAAGTAAATTACAGTGCTATCAATCCCAAAATAAAAAAAAAATCTTTGTTTTCATGTCAGGTCACCCTATTTCTTTTGTTTGGTGAAATGACCATGATTTGGCTGAAGTTTTTGAAATGATATCTGAGGCAATACCTTTAAAGAGGGTATCAGTTATCATGATTAATCACAACACAACTAGGTAGGATGTTTCTGTCTCCCTGGAGCATGCTGAGAGATGACACTTGTTGTGTGCCCATCAGACTAACACTAACAGTGTGTCAGGAGACAGAAAATAATGATAAAATTTGCCATTTTAAGCTACAAAAATCTTGGGGATTATATTGGAATGGATTGTCATGAAGAGAGAAAACATTTGACTGAACCAAATGTGGATTAAGCCAAATTTATCAACATGAGAGCCCTTAAAAGATATTCTAATTTTATGTGCTGGCTCAAACAGCTGGGAGAAGCTAAGACCATTTCTTCATTGGGTTGATTTAAAAACTCAACTAACCAGGGTGGAGCCAAAATGGCCGAATAGGAACAGCTCCAGTCTACAGCTCCCAGCGTGAGCAACACAGAAGACAGGTGATTTCTGCATTTCCAACTGAGGTACTGGGTTCATCTCACTGGGGAGTGCCGGATAGTGGGTGCAAGACAGTGGGTGCAGTGCACCATGTGTGAGCCGAAGCAGGGCGAGGCATCGCCTCACCTGGGAATCACAAGGGGTCAGGGAATTCCCTTTCCTAGTCAAAGAAAGGGGTGACAGACAGCACCTGGAAAATTGGGTCACTCCCAACCTAATACTGTGCTTTTCCAATGGGCTCAACAAACAGCACATCAGGAGATTATATCCAGCACCTGGCTCGGAGGGTCCTACGCCCAAGGAGCCTTGCTCATTGCTAGCACAGCAGTCTGAGATCAAACTACAAGGCAGCAACAAGGCTGGGGGAGGGCACCCACCATTGCCAAGGCTTGAGTAGGTAAACAAAGCGGCCAGGAAGCTCGAACTGGGTGGAGCCCACCACAGCTCAAGGAGGCCTGCCTGCCTCTGTAGGCTCCACCTCTGGGAGCAGGGCACAGACAAACAAAAGGCAGCAGTAACCTCTGCAGACTTAAATGTCCCTGTCTGACAGCTTTGAAGAGAGTAGTGGTTCTCCCAGCACGCAGCTTGAGAACTGAGAACGGGCAGACTGCCTCCTCAAGTGGGTCCCTGACCCCCAAGTAGCCTAACTGGGAGGCATCCCCCAGTAGGGGCGGACTGACACCTCACACGGCCAGGTACTCCTCTGAGACAAAACTTCCAGAGGAACAATCAGGCAGCAGCATTTGCGGTTCACCAATATCTGCTGTTCTGCAACCACTGCTGCTGATACCCAGGAAAACAGGGTCTGGAGTGGACCTCCAGCAAACTCCAACAGACCTGCAGCTGAGGGTCCTGACTGTTAGAAGGAAAACTAACAAACAGCAAGGACATCCACACCAAAAACCCATCTGTACGTCACCATCATCAAAGACCAAAGGTAGATAAAACCACAAAGATGGGGAAAAAACAGAGCAGAAAAATTGGAAACTCTAAAAATCAGAGCGCCTCTCGTCCTCCAAAGGAATGCGGCTCCTCACCAGCAACGGAACAAAGCTGGAGGGAGAATGACTTTGACAAGTTTAGAGAAGAAGTCTTCAGAGGATCAAACTACTCCTAGCAAAAGGAGGAAGTTTGAACCAATGGCAAAGAAGTTAAAAACCTTGAAAAAAAAATCAGATGAATGGATAAACAGAATAACCAATGCAGAGAAGTCCTTAAAGGACCTGATGGAGCTGAAAACCATGGCACGAGAACTACGTGATGAATGCACAAGCCTCAGTAGCCGATGCAATCAACTGGAAGAAAGGGTATCAGTTATGGAAGACGAAATGAATGAAATGAAGCGAGAAGAGAAGTTTAGAGAAAAAAGAATAAGAAGAAACGAACAAAGCATCCAAGAAATATGGGACTATGTGAAAAGACCAAATCTATGTCTGATTGGTGCACCTGAAAATGACGGGGATAATGGAACCAAGTTGGAAAACACTCTGCAGGGTATTATCCAGGAGAACTTCCCCAATCTAGCAAGGCAGGCCAACATTCAAATTCAGGAAATACAGAGAATGCCACAAAGATACTCCTCGAGGAGAGCAACTCCAAGACACATGATTGTCAGATTCACCAAAGTTGAAATGAAGGAAAAAATGTTAAGGGCAGCCAGAGAGAAAGGTCAGGTTACCCACAAAGGGAAGCCCATCAGACTAACAGTGGATCTCTCGGCAGAAACTCTACAAGCCAGAAGAGAGTGGGGGCCAATATTCAACATTCTTAAAGTAAAGAATTTTCAACCCAGAATTTCATATCCAGCCAAGCTAAGCTTCATAAGTGAAAGAGAAATAAAATCCTTTACAGACAAGCAAATGCTGAGAGATTTTGTCACCACCAGGCCTGCCCTAAAAGAGCTCCTGTAGGAAGCACTAAACATGGAAAGGAACAACCTGTACCAGCCACTGAAAAAACATGCCAAATTGTAAAGACCTTCAAGGCTAGGAAGAAACTGCATCAACTAACAAGCAAAATAACCAGCTAACATCATAATGACAGGATCAAATTCACACATAACAATATTAACCTTAAATGTAAATGGGCTAAATGCGCCAATTAAAAGACACAGACTGGCAAATTGGATAAAGAGTCAAGACCCGTCAGTATGCTGTATTCAGGAAACCCATCTCACATGCAGAGACACACATAGGCTCAAAATAAAGCGATGGAGGAAGATCTACCAAGCAAATGAAAGACAAAAAAAGGCAGGGGTTGCAATCCTAGTCTCTGAAAAACCAGACTTTAAACCAACAAAGATCAAAAGAGACAAAGAAGGCCATTACATAATGGTAAAGGGATCAATTCAACGAGAAGAGCTAACTATCCTAAATATATATGCACCCAATACAGGAGCACCCAGATTCATAAAGCAAGTCCTTAGAGACCTACAAAGAGACTTAGACTCCCACACAATGATAATGGGAGACTTTAACACCCCACTGTCAACATTAGACAGATCAACGAGACAGAAAGTTAACAAGGATACCTGGGAATTGAACTCAGCTCTGCACCAAGCGGACCTAATAGACATCTACAGAACTCCCCACCCCAAATCAACAGAATATACATTCTTTTTAGCACCACACCACACCTATTCCAAAATTGACCACATAGCTGGAAATAAAGCTCTCCTCAGCAAATGTGAAAGAACAGAAATTATAACAAACTGTCTCTCAGACCACAGTGCCATCAAACTACAACTCAGGATTAAGAAACTCACTCAAAACCACTCAACTACATGGAAACTGAACAACCTGCTCCTGAATGACTACTGGGTACATAATGAAATGAAGGCAGAAATAAAGATATTCTTTGAAACCAACAAGAACAAAGACACAACATACCAGAATCTCTGGGACACATTTAAAGCAGTGTGTAGAGGGAAGTTTATAGCACTAAATGCCCACAAGAGAAAGCAGGAAAGATCTAAAACTGACACCAGAACATCACAATTAAAACATCTAGAGAATCAAGAGCAAACACATTCAAAAGCTAGCAGAAGGTAAGAAATAACTAAGATCAGAGCAGAACTGAAGGAAATAGAGACACAAAAAACCCTTCAAAAAATCAATGAATCCAGAAGCTGGTTTTTTGAAAAGATCAACAAAATTCATAGACCACTAGCAAGACTAATAAAGAAGAAAAGAGAGAAGAATCAAATAGACGCAATAAAAAATGATAAAGGGGATATCACCACCAATCCCACAGAAATACAAACTACCATCAGAGAATACTATAAACACCTCTACACAAATAAACTAGAAAATCTAGAAGAAATGGATAAATTCCTCGACACATACACCCTCCCAAGACTAAACCAGGAAGAAGTTGAATCTCTGAATAGACCAATAACAGGCTCTGAAATTGAGGCAATAATTAGCAGCTTACCAACCAAAAAAAGTCCAGGACCAGATGGATTCACAGCCGAATTCTACCAGAAGTACAAAGAGGAGCTGCTACCATTCCTTCTGAAACTATTCCAATCAATAGAAAAAGAGGGAATCCTCCCTAACTCATTTTATGAGGCCAGCATCATCCTGATACCAAAGCCTGGCAGAGACACAACCAAAAAAGAGAATTTTAGACCAATATCCTTGATGAACATTGATGCAAAAATCCTCAATAAAATACTGGCAAACTGAATCCAGCAGCACATCAAAAAGCTTATCCACCATGATCAAGTGGCCTTCATCCCTGGGATGCAAGACTGGTTCAACATATGAAAATCAATAAACGTAATCCAGCATATAAACAGAACCAAAGACAAAAACCACATGATTATCTCAATAGATGCAGAAAAGGCCTTTGACAAAATTCAACAACACTTCATGCTAAAAACTCTCAATAAATTAGGTATTGATGGGACGTATCTTAAAATAATAAGAGCTATCTATGACAAACCCACAGCCAATATTATACTGAATGGACAAAACTGGAAGCATTCCCTTTGAAAACTGGCAAAAGACAGGGATGCCCTCTCTCACCATTCCTATTCAACATAGAGTTGGAAGTTCTGGCCAGGGCAATCAGGCAGGAGAAGGAAATAAAGGGCATTCAATTAGGAAAAGAGGAAGTCAAATTGTCCCTGTTTGCAGATGACATGATTGTATATCTAGAAAACCCCATCGTCTCAGCCCAAAATCTCCTTAAGCTGATAAGGAACTTCAGCAAAGTCTCAGGATACAAAATCAGTGTGCAAAAATCACAAGCATTCCTATACACCAATAACAGACAAACAGAGAGCCAAATCATGAGTGAACTCCCATTCACAATTGCTTCAAAGAGAATCAAATACCTAGGAATCCAACTTACAAGGGATGTGAAGGACCTCTTCAAGGAGAACTACAAACCACTGCTCAATGAAATAATAGAGGATACAAACAAATGGAAGAACATTCCCTGCTCATGTGTAGGAAGAACCAATATCGTGAAAATGGCCATACTGCCCAAGGTAATTTATAGATTCAATGCCTTGCCCATCAAGCTACCAATGACTTTCTTCACAGAGTTGGAAAAAACTACTTTAAAGTTCATATGGAACCAAAAAAGAGCCTGCATTTCCAAGTCAATCCTAAGCCAAATGAACAAAGCTGGAGGCATCATGCTACCTGACTGCAAACTATACTACAAGGCTACAGTAACCAAAACAGCATGGTACTGGTACCAAAACAGAGATATAGAACAGTGGAACAGAACAGAGCCCTCAGAAATAATGCCACATATCTACCAGTATCTGATCTTTGACAAACCTGACAAAAACAAGCAATGGGGAAAGGATTCTCTATTTAATAAATGGTGCTGGGAAAACTGGCTAGCCATATGTAGAAAGCTGAAACTGGATCCCCTCCTTACACCTTATACAAAAATTAATTCAAGATGGATTAAAGACTTCAATGTTGGACCTAAAACCAGAAAAACCCTAGAATAAAACCTAGGCAATACCATTCAGGACATAGGCATGGGCAAGGACTTCATGTCTAAAACACCAAAAGCAATGGCAACAAAAGCCAAAATTGACAAATGGGATCTAATTAAACTAAAGAACTTCTGCACAACAAAAGAAACTACCATCAGAGTGAATAGGCAACCTACAGAATGGGAGAAAATTTTTGCAACCTACCCATCTGACAAAGGGCTAATATCCAGAATCTACAGTGAACTCCAACAAATTTACAAGAAAAAAACAAACAACCCCATCAAAAAGTGGGTGAAGGATATGAACAGACATTTCTCAAAAGAAGACATTTATGCAGCCAAAAAACACATGAAAAAATGCTCATCATCACTGGCCATCAGAGAAATGCAAATCAAAACCACAATGAGATACCATCTCACACCAGTTAGAATGGTGATCATTAAAAAGTCAGGAAACAACAGGTGCTGGACAGGATGTGGAGAAATAGGAACACTTTTACACTGTTGGTGGGACTGTAAACTAATTTAACCATTGTGGAAGTCAGTGTGGCGATTCCTCAGGGATCTAGAACTAGAAATACCATTTGACCCAGCCATCCCATTGCTGGGTATATACCCAAAGGATTATAAATCATGCTGCTAGAAAGACACACACACACATATGTTTATTGCGGCACTATTCACAATAGCAAAGACTTGGAACCAACCCAAATGTCCAACAATGATAGAGTGGATTAAGAAAATGTGGCACATATACACCATGGAATACTATGCAGCCATAAAAAATGATGAGTTCATGTCCTTTGTAGAGTCATGGATGAAGCTGGAAACCATCATTCTCAGCAAACTATCACAAGGACAAAAAACCAAACACCGCATGTTCTCACTCATAGGTGGGAATTGAACAATGAGAACACGTGGTCACAGGAAGGGGAACATCACACACGGGGGACTGTTGTGGGGTGTGGTGAGGGGGCAGGGATAGCATTAGGAGATATACCTATTGCTAAATGATTAGTTAATGGGTGCAGCACACCAACATGGCACATGTAGACATATGTAACAAACCTGCACGTTGTGCACATGTACTCTAAAACTTAAAGTATAATAATAATAAAATTTTAAAAAAGTAATGTTCAAGTTTATTTGGGTATGAAATTCTAATACCATCCAGAGAGAGTTCATGCTGCTTCAAAATAATTTTAAGTGTAATTCTACAAATAAAGAAACCATTTATATCAATAAAAAAATAAAACCATAAAATTTTAAAAATAAAGAGATGAATATTGAAGATAATCTGATTAGGTAAGATGTTGGTTTATTTCATTTCATACTCTAAGCACATTTTTTTCATAATGGAATTATGCTCTACATGCCCTCCTCAGGAAACTTCCCAGGAAGGTCATCATAATGCTGTTGTTTTGTGCTCATTATTGTTACAAATTCAAAAAATGTAAAAAATATGACAAGAAATATACCCAATAAAGATATTTATGGTGCAAACACATCCCTCTTCCACTCCTTACTCCATCTCACTATTTGCCATTTTTCACTTTTCTGAAGATATTCTTTACACATATTAGTGTATGTGGGGTAGTTGTGTATGTGTTCATGTGTTTTAATAGATACATTTATTTATATATGCATATTGATAGGTTAGTAGAGAGATAACATCCTGTGTCATCTTATAAATACCATCTTGTAACTTTTTTCTCCTTAAATATATCAATTCTCTAACTACAGACTTGCCTCGCTATTTTTAATAAATGCAAAATATTACATTATGAAGATGTGTTTAACAACTTCAGGACTGGTAGTCATTTATGAGATGTGTAGCTTTTTGCTAATGCAAACAACACTGCAACAAAGGTCTTTGTACACCCACTTCTGAATGAATATGTGCAAATTTGTGTCAAGTGAATACTTTTATGTATCAAATACATCAATAATTTAAGGCCTTTAAGTGATCTTAGGTCTTTTGCCTAATATTTCTACATTTAAATTTTTATTGTTTTGAAATTAAAGATAGGAATTTATTTATTTTTTTCCTGATTTTAAATCAGTTAGCACACACACACTCCATTGAAACGTTCTGCCTTTACGTAATGATATGAAATTACTCCTTCATGATAAAGTAAATCTCCATACACATTTGGGTTCATTTCTGAAGCCTGATATGAAATGCTTTCAAAAACCTTGCTTCGCATTATTTATTTGAGAGCAAGTTAATTTAGTGGTTTTGATAAGTATACTTTTTAAAATAAAGAAATGCAAAGTCTGGTATTTAAGCTTATCTGTCCAAGAAGACGATTAAGTATTTATACACAGTCTTAGCATTTTCATGTCTATTATTTTTCCTACTATTCCAGAAAGATTGTAACAGAAAAAAAAGGCTAATATAATGGAGATAGTGGGCCAGAATATATGTTGAATTACAATTTCAACCTTCACTCTGAGGGGCCTAGATTAGTTATGCTCAATAACTTGGAGGAGGAAAAACTAGATCAAATTTGGAAGCATTGGTTTGTGTTCCTAGTCTACCTGTCTGTAATCTTGAGAAACTTTGATTTTCTCAGTTTTGGAATTGTCATCAGCTAAATATGAATAATGAAAATGTATTTTCCTAATTTATATAGTGACAATGTTATCCAATGAATCAATATGTCTTATGTTTGTGAAGTATCTTATACAATACATTAAGTGAGAATGAGGAAACACTATAGGAAGAAATAGGAAAAAAAAATCATATTTTAAACTTACATTATTTTAACGAGTGCATGAAGTTGTCATATCTTTATCAGAATAATAAGTACATGTGAAGGAAAAATTTACCTATTTCATAATCCATATTTTAAAAATCACCTTGACATTGGCTCTGTTTAAGTGACGGATTACGTTTATTGATTTGTGTATGTTGAACCAGCCTTTCATCCCAGGGATGAAGTCGATTTGATTATGGTGGATAAGCTTTTTGATGTGCTGCTGGATTCGGTTTGCCAGTATTTTATTGAGGATTTTCACATCGATGTCATCAGGGATATTGGCCTGAAATTTTCTTTTTTTGTTGTGTCTCTGCCAGGTTTTGGTATCAGGATGATGCTGGCCTCACAAAATGAGTTAGGGAAGATTCCGACTTTTTCTATTGTTTGGAATAGTTTCAGAAGGAATAGTACCAGCTCCTCTTTGTACCTCTGGTAGAATTCGGCTGTGAATCTGTCTGATCCTGGGCTTCTTTTTTGGTTGGTAGGCTATTAATTACTGCCTGAATTTCAGAACTTGTTATTGGTCTATTCAGGGATTAGATTTCTTCCTGGTTTAGTCTTGGGAGGATGTATGTGTCCAGGAATTTATCCATTTCTTCTAAATTTTCTAGTTGATTTGCATAGAGTTATTTATAGTATCCTCTGATGGTAGTTTGTATTTCTGTAAGATCAGTGGTGATATCCCCCTTATCATTTTTTGTCGTGTCTATTTGATTCTTCTCTGTTTTCTTCTTTATTAGTCCAGTTAGTGGTCTATTTTGTTAAGCTTTTCAAAAAACCAGCTCCTGGATTCATTGATTTTTTGAACGGTTTCTTGTGTCTCTATCTCCTTCATCTCTGCTCTGATCTGTTATTTCTTGTCTTCTGCTAGCTTTTGAATTTGTTTGATCTTTCTTCTCTAGTTCTTTTAATTGTGATGTCAGGTTGTTTATTTTAAAGGCCTTCAATAAAATTCAACACCTCTTCATGCTAAAAACTCTCAATAAACTAGGTATTGATGGAACGTGTCTCAAAATAATAAGAGCTATTTATGACAAACCCAAAGCTAATATCATACCGAATGGGCAAAAGCTGGAAGCAGTCTCTTTGAAAACCAGCACAAGACAAGAATGCCCTCTCTCACCACTCCTATTCAACATAGTATTGGAAGTTCTGGTCAGGGCAATCAGGCAAGAGAAAGAAATAAAGTGTATTCAAATAGGAAGGCAGGAAGTCAAATTGTCTCTGTTTGCAGATGACATGATTGTATATTTAGAAAACCCCATCGTCTCAGACCTAAATCTCCTTAAGCTGAAAAGCAACTTCAGCAAAGTCTTAGGATACAAAATCAATTTGCAAAAATCACAAGCATTCCTATACACCAATAATAGACAAACAGCCAAATCATGAGTAAACTCCCATTCACAATTGTTACAAAGAGAATAAAATACCTAGGAATACAACTTACAAGGAATGTGAAGGACCTCTTCAAGAAGAACTCCAAACCACGGCTCAAGGAAATAAGAGAGGACACAAACAAATGAAAAAACATTCCATGCTCATGGATGGGAATAATCAATATCGTGAAAATGGACATACTGCCTGAAGTAATTTAGAGATTCAATGCTATCCCCATCAAGTTACTATTGACTTTCTTCACAGAATTAGAAAAAAACTACTTTAAATTTCATATGAAACCAAAAAAGAGCCCGTATAGCCAAGACAATCATAAGCAAAAATAACAAAGCTGGAGGCATCATGTTACCTGACTTCAAACTATACTACAAGGATACAGTAACCAAAACAGCATGGTACTGATACCAAAACAGATATATAGACCAATAGAACAGAACAGAGGCCTCAGAAATAATGCCACACATCTACAACCATCAGATCTTTGACAAACCTGACAAAAACAAGCAATGGGGAAGGGATTTCATATTTAATAAATGGTTTTGGGAAAACTGGCTAGCCATATGCAGAAAACGGAAACTGGACCCCTTCCTTACACCTTATAAAAAAATTAACTCAAGATGGATTAAGATTTAAATGTAAGACCCAATATCATAAAAACTCTAGAAGATAACATAGACAATACCATTCATGACATAGGCATGGTCAAAGACATCATGACTAAAACACCAAAAGCAATGGCAACAAAAGCCAAAATAGACAAATAGGATCTAATTAAACTAAAGAGCTTCTGCACAACAAAAGAAACTATCATCAGAGTGAACAGTTAACCTACGGAATGGAAGAAAATTTTTGCAATCTATCCATCTGACAAAGGACTAATATCCAGAATCTACAAATAACTTAAACAAATTTACAAGAAAAAAAACAACCCCATCAAAAAGTGGGTGAAGAATATGAACAGACACCTCTCAAAAGAAGGCATGAAGACATTTATGTGGTCAACAAACATATGAAATGAAGCTCATCATCATTGGTCATTAGAGAAATGCAAATCAAAACTACAATGAGATACCATCTCATGCCAGTTAGAATGGTGATCATTAAAAAGTCAGGAAACAAGAGAGGCTGGAGAGGATGTGGAGAAATAGGAATGCTTTTACACTGTTGGTGGGTATGTAAATTAGTTCAACCATTGTGGAAGACAGTGTGGTGATTTCTGAAGGATCTAGAACCAGAAATACCATTTGACCTAGAAATCCCATTACTGGATATATACCCAAAGGATTATAAAACATTCCACTATAAAGACACACGCACATATATGTTTATTGCAGCACTATTTACAATAGCAAAGACTTGGAACCCAAATGCCCATCAGTGATAGACTGGATAAGGAAAATGTGGCACATATACACCATGGGATACTATGCTGCCATAAAAAAGAATGAGTTTATGTTCTTTGCAGGGACATGGATTATGCTGGAAGCCATGATTCTCATTAACTAACACAGGAACAGCAAACCAAACACTCCTTATTCTCACTCATAAATGGGAGTTGAACAATGAGAACACATGGACACAGTGAGGGGAACATCATACATTGGGGCCTGTTAGAGGGTGGGGTGCATTAGGAGAAACACCTAATGTAGATGACGGGTTGATGGGTGCAGCAAACCACCATGGCATGTGTGTACCTATGTAACAAACCTGCACGTTCTGCACATGTATCCCAGAACTTAAAGTATAATGAAAAAAATCATCTTGGCAACCATGAGATTTAGTCTTGCTTGAATTAATTTTCTTTCTTCTTAGATGACTCTCCAAACTTACATGCCCAAAGTTTGTATTTTGTTAGAAACATTTTCTTGATTTCTTCTGTGGCATACTCATTTTCTAGTCCCTCTGGTTATTTTTCCCTGGACATGTTGGCAGCAGTAGAGGCTAATTATTTTGAATCTCGGAGGCTTAAACGGAAGTATGAGAGTGAGGCAGTAATGGCATGAAAGCTCCCTGAAGAGCTATGTATTCTATGGATGGCCATCAGTTGGAGTTGGTTTCTTGAGGTTGACCCTTCAGTAGGTCAGAGAGAGCTGGGTTGATGTTAAAGAGGGCTGAGAAGAAATTCAAACAACAAACTGGTTTGAGGATCATGTTTGGGCCCCAGGTCAGTCTTCCAGGACTCCGTATCTCCATGTCACATTCCAGACAAACTGATGGATTACAACCCAGCATCAGGTAAATGTTGAAGGGATTTGGAGAGGGAATATTAATTAAAGTTGTCATCACTTCGTGGAGTAGGCTGAAGGGAGCACTCAGGAGTAGAACTATAAAATAAAAATTTTTTAAAATGTAAAAAGGTTTATTCTACAAGCCACATACATTTTTGTTTGAGAGAACAATAAGCTTATGAAAAGTATACTGATGTAGGATTCAAAATATTGTATTATTCAAATCTTTTCTTCTGAATTTACTAGATCTATAAACTTGAGCAAGTCCTACAACCTCTTGGTGCCTGCGTTTCCTCTCTTCTGTTATATAAAAAAATCGTTCTTTAGAGGCATATTATAAGAAGAAAACAAACATACTTGTATGAAAGCAATTATATACTTAAAATTTAAGTTTATGGATAGAAAATTTGATATGAACTATCTGGTGTTTGCCAATCTTTGTTAAACACTATTCTATTATTAGGAGACTGATGGAAAAATATGTGTTACCAATCATGTTATTTACCTTTGAAACTTTATATTTTCATTTAAGTATTTTTAGGTGTACCTTTTTTTAACCACTTTTCTAGACTGAAACTGCTATTTCCATTACAAAGATTGTAGCTATTAAGATGTTGATTTTTGAGAAAATTTAGCTCTGAAAGGCCTACCACTCAGATAATCAAAGGTTGTTTAAATCCATTAGCTGGGTGTGGTGGTGCACACCTGTAATTCCAGCTGCTCTGGAGGCTGAGACAGGAGAATCGTGTGAACCTGGGAAGCGGAGGTTGCAGTGAGCTGAGATCACATCACTGCACTCCAGCCTGGGTGGCAGAACAGAAACAAAAACAAAAACAAACAACAACAAAAAGTTGTTTAAATCTATGACAATTTAGAACAAGGGAATCTGATAGCATGGAATTAAAACTATAGCAAAAGTTCTTACAAAGTAACATGAAGAGGAAGTATATAAAATAAGTCAGGTAGAATGAAAATCTAAATATTGTTTCAGTTTTGTTTATTAACATATTATATTAGAGCCATGCTTAGAAAGTTAATGAAGAGTGTATTAGGATGTAAACGTTTAAAATAATGGGCTTCATGTGTTCTTAAACCATGTGGTCAGATACTTCTACTCTGCTCACCCTTCGTTTTTTTGTGCACTCCATTTGCCAGAGATCTATAGATTCTTCTGTCTCCCAGCTCCAGTTTTTCACCCTCAAGGGGATTATCAGCCTGTTTTTAACTTTTGATTTAGGCGAATTCCGTATTATTCTTATACAGTCAGAAAGGCAAGAACTCCCTGCATCCTTTCTAGACATTTAAACTGAATTACTGAATTTAGTCTTAGATCTTTCATTTTTATTTTCTATTTTTCTTCCATTTCTTTTTATATTCATATATTTGACAGCTACTTATGTGACTATTACTATGTATCAGACAAAAATTTACCATCTTTATGTACTTCTTTTTTCTGTCTTATTTTTTTCTTTCCATTTTTCTTCTCTCTTTACTTTCTGAGTTTATCTGCTGCTATTATTTCCTTGTTACTCATTTTACCTCTATTTCCTATAAATTTTCAATATTTAAGCACAAATGAAGTATATGGAAAACCAGGGGAACAGGCTACATATACTTCTTTAATAACTTTACTGTTTTCCTCGGGTAAAGTATATAATTAATTTTATTCATAACTTTCCAAACTTACCCCAGAAACTTAATAGTACTTAATAGAACTTAATAGAAACAAATAGCTGTGCCTACTGGAAGAGAAGCAGTAGAAAAATATAAAGATTGTGAAAATGTTATTACTAATTTTGAAATGTAGGAAAAGAAACACAGCTTTCTTCAGATTTAGAACATTATCTGAGTTCTAACTAAATGAGATTCTGAAAGAGACTCTAGCAAGAAAACAATCCAGACAGAATGAAGGTAGCATTCCAAAATTGTCTTTTTAGGATTTTAATTGGACAAGGAATTACTTGAATACTGATTAAGAAGTATTCTTCTATAAGAAATCCTACAACACAGAAGAAGTCTTCCTTTGACCATAATAGATAAGGCAAAATTTGATTCAGAAATATATATGTAAAGATAAAATTGTTTCTCAGTATTGAATCAAAATATATTCATATAATAATCTTCTAATCAACTGGCAGAGATATGTGTTCCATTTCTTTGGGGATACAATACAAAATGTAATCATATATATATATATATATATATTATATATATATATATATTATTTTTTTTTTTTGAGACGGAGTCTCACTGTCTCCCAGGCTCGAGTGCAGTGGTGCGATCTCGGCTCATGGCAAGCTCCGCCCCCTCCGGGTTCACGCCATTCTCCTGCCTCAGCCTCCCGAGTAGCTGGGACTACAGGTGGCTGCCACCACACCCGGCTAATTTTTTTTTTTATTTTGAGTAGAGACGGGGTTTCACCTTGTTCGCCAGGATGGTCTCGATCTCCTGACCTCATGATCCGCCCGCCTCGGCCTCCCAAAGTGCTGGGATTGCAGGCGTGAGCCACCCCGCCCGGCCGTAATCATATTTTTAAGGCTCTATTCCTAAAGACTCACTGTCCCAGGTGAGAAATGGGAGAAGAAAGGAATTGGATAGCACCAGTTTGAATGAAGAGTGGCATTATAGAGATACAAAATGACAAGGTTTAAAAAAGGAGACGTCCCAGAAGTTTCTAGAATCACTTCTATGTAATTTTACCATGTGAGTAGTCCTACTAATATTGCAGCTACTGCTTTTGTATTATATGTGGTCTTTTATAAGTTTTTTTTTAATTTACAAAGGAAATATACATTTAATTGTCATTAAAGTACTATGGAGTTTATATGCAAGTATTTTAATTCTCTTGATCTGGTTGAACAAACCAGGTCACAAGGGTATGAAGTGACATATTTAAAGTCCATGCATTTTTAGTAAGTAAAATAAATGTATTTATTGGTTAATTAGTTACATCAATTTGAGAATTAGCAATAAAACCCTAAAACTGCCAATGGGGCATATTTTAACTCTGCTTTGACCTCTTGGGCTCTGAATTAGTAAATGATGTATATGGGTTTGGTTGTGATGAAATATCAGTGAAACTGATTGAGGTCATAGGTGAAAAATAATGATATCAAAATGCTAATGTAATCTAGGAATAACATATCAGAGCACCAAAGGAAAAAGCTTCATGATTGCTGGTTTCAACTAAATTCAAATTGATTAACATGTAGTAAATATCTATTATATTTAACATATACTCTTATGTCTAAAAGTCACGTGCTGACTCTTTTCAAAGAGTATGTAATCGATATAGTCAGGAAAACATATCGAGTACAAAAAAGACAGAAAAAAATCTCTATCTCTCCCATATATAGATATATATCTATATATGAGTATATATGTATATCATGAAAAAATTATCAAATCATATATACATGATATATATATATCATGTATATATATATATATCATGTATATATGTCATATTTATAAATGAGTATATCATCAAGAAATTACAAATAAAATGCTCTGGACGACCAGTAAGAAAGGAGAGCAGGAAATACTTAAGGACATTTTTATATTTGAGATGATCCTTACAGGATACATAACAACAATGGCATTTCACATCAGCATAAATACAAGGGGTCAAGGGGGAAGGTCACAAGTTTGGTTGGATCAGTGAATATGTCTGCATGGTTCAAGCGATTGTTATATGAGGCCTGAGTCCAAGGTTGCATTTTAATATAATGTGTCAGAATATGGAGAGCCACTGAATAATTTTGAATTGAAATGTACATGGCCACATTTTAACGATGGAAAGACTGTTCTCCAAACCAGCTAGGTTGTTTTGAAGATGAGAGAACAATTGTAAGTAAGAATACCAGTTTGAAAGCTAGAGATCATGGGACACTGAACTATTTTCTGTATGTCTGCCTTAATGTTTTTAGATAGATACAGATTTAATAGATAGATTTGAGAGACAATGGTGAAGAAGAAATTACTCCAGCTGACATCTTACGTGACATGTATGCAATTATAATTCAAAGAGAATGATGACCTCTGCATACCAAAAGAATTGTTATTCTATAAGCAAATGAAGAAATTAGAAGTGTTAATGGATGGATACTAAAATCAGTTTTGAATTTAGTGATTCTTATGTTTAGCTGTGAAGCAAGTTTTTATCCCTATCATTTCTCACTGTCACTCATTTCATTCACACGGATACCGTAACTCAGATGACACGATTTGAAATATAGAGCTGGCCAACTAAGTACATGAACCCTACTAAGTCAGGATCACAAGAAGAATATGACATAGGGCAACTGAGAGGATCAGAAAAGTAAATAGAGGATCCTGAGCTGATTTCAGAGCAGTCACATTTTGTTTACTATCCTCTAATAAATATTTGTTTATTGTTACAAATATCATTATAAACTGCATAAATGCATAAAAATAAAACAACTGTAATACATCTGGGGATTCATAATTAGGTAAGTATATAATAATTGTTAATAGTCATTGAATTATTAGTATATGACAAGAACTGAGCTATGTTTGCAATGTACACTCTATTCCTTAATTTGTACACTAGTTCTATGAGATGGGTATAATTATGCTTATTTGAAAGATGAGAAAATTGAAGCACACAAAGATTAAATGACATCTCCAAAGTCACACAGCTAATGAATGGAATGACTGGGATTTGGAGGAAATCCCAGTCTTTTATAAATGTCTTTTATAAAACAACTAGAGAAAAACACAAGACAAATTTACTAAAAGATAAGAGTCAAACAAAAAAAGAAATTTGGGATTGTAGGGAATGGAAAAATTTGCAATTGGAGTTATTCTTTAGAAATTATATGATAAAGGAATTGTGTAATTTGGATGGGCAAAGAGCAGGATAGAGGCAATTTTGGTGGAAAAAATAGTATCAGTAATTAGAAAATATGAGAATAAAGAAGGGAGAGAGAGGGAAAATGATTAAGTTTATATGTGCTGAGAATGATGCTGAGAGATTACAAATTCATATACATCCTCAAATTTCAAGGATTCACATATTTAAAACTCTTTCTGGTGATTTCTTCCAGAGATTAAAATTTCATCAAATGTATCCAGATATTTTTAAAGTTGCATTTTCACAGCAAACAAATTTCTAAGGACTGATTGTTTTTTTGTGTGTGTAATTTTGTTTGTTTTTTTGGCTTTTTTCTCCCTATTTTTAAATGTTCTGAGTAGGACTAGCATTAAAGCTTGGAAGGGGTAAAACGAGTCATGGCACTCCATCCTTTTATCATGCAGACTTTATAAAGTGCTCCAGTTCTTATGGTGTTTTCTGACCAGGATCTGTACCAAGCAGATGAACATGCCAAGATGTCTTCGTTCTCCCTGGCTGCACATCCTCCTGTAGTCTTCATGCCGGCCTTCGTTTGACCTGTTTTTGGGAAGTTCTGCCTTTTCCTTCTATTTTAATCTACACTCTGTTGCCACCATTACATATCCATGCATGTAGAGTTGATGGTAGTATACTAAAACTTTTTAGAAGAGAAGATATGAAAACCCAAATGGAGTGAATAGCTAACCAGAAGACATATATTAAATAAGCAAAATTCCCAACTATGTTGCTGGTGTGGTATTTATTCTGTTCTCAGTAATCTTTCAATATTACATTGATGATGTTGTCTCCACATTTCATCATAATCAGGATGTAGATGCAAATGATATTTTACTGTAATGAAGATACAGATGCCGATTAGA